>NC_000007.14:145822016-145973531 GCF_000001405.40 Homo sapiens | reverse complement strand
CTTTTCAAAAAACCAACTTTTTGTTTCAGTACCTTTTGCATTTTCTTCATTTTAATTTCATTTATTTCCACTCTGATCTTCATTATTTCTTTTCTTCTGCTAATTTGGGTTTGATCTGCTCTTACTTTTCTAGTTCTTTAAGACACATCATTAGGTTGTTTATTTCATGTTTCTCCTATGTTTGATGTAAACACGTATAGATATAAACGTACCTGTTAGTACTGCTTTCGTTGTATTCCATAGGATTTGGTATGCTGTGTTTCCATCATTATTTGTTTAAAAAATTTTTTCAATTACCTTCTTAATTTCTTCATTGACCCACTGGTCATGCAGAAGAGTATTGTTTAATTTTCATGTATTTGTAGTGTTTCTAAAATTCTTCTTTTTCTTGACTTCTTGTTTTATTCCATTGTGGTCAGAGAAGGTGCTTAATATTACTTCACTATTTTGTGACTGTTTTAAGATTTGTTTTGTGACTTAACATATGTTCTATCCTTGAGAATGATTCATGTGCTGAAGAAAAGAATGTGTTTTCTGCAGCTCTTGGATGAAATGTTCTGTAAATATCTATTTGATTCATTTGGTCCGTAGTGCAGAATAAGGCCAATCTTTCTCAGTTGATTTTTGGTCTGGAACACCTGTTCCATGCTGAAAGTGGTGTTAAAGTGTCCAGCTATTATTAAATCGGGGCCCATTTTTGTCTTCAGCACTAATAATATTTACTCTATATATCTGGTTGTTCCAGCATTGGTTGCATATATATTTAAAAGTGTAATATCATCTTGCTGAATTGATCCTTATAATATAGTGATTTTCATTGTCTCTTCTTTTTTTATTATTATATTTTAAGTTCTAGGGTACATGTGCACAATGTGCAGGTTTGTTACATATGTATACATGTGCCGTGCTGGTTTGCTGCACCCATTAACTCGTCACTGACATGAGGTATTTCTCCTATGCTATCCCTCCTCCATCCCCCGACCCCATGACAGGCCCCAGTGTGTGATGTTCCCTGCCCTGTGTCCAAGTGTTCTCATTGTTCAATTTCCATCTATGAGTGAGAACGTGCAGTGTTTGGTTTTCTGTCCTTGTGATAGTTTGCTCAGAATGATGGTTTCCAGCTTCATCCATGTCCCTACAAAGGACATGAACTCATCCTTTTTTATGGCTGCATAGTATTCCATGGTGTATATGTGCCACATTTTCTTAATCCAGTCTATCATTGATGGACGTTTGGGTTGGTTCCAAGTCTTTGCTATTGTGTATAGTGCCGTAATAAACATACATGTGCATGTGTCTTTATAGTAGCATGATTTATAATCCTTTGGGTATATACCCAGTAATGGGATGGCTGGGTCAAATGGTATTTTTAGTTCTAGATCCTTGAGGAATCGCCACACTGTCTTCCACAATGGTTTAACTAGTTTACAGTCCCACCAACAGTGTAAAAGCATTCCTATTTCTCCACATCCTCTCCAGCACCTGTTGTTTCCTGACTTTTTAATGATCACCATTCTAACTGGTGTGAGATGGTATCTCATTGTGGTTTTGATTTGCATTTCTCTGATGACCAGTGATGATGAGCACTTTTTCATGTGTCTGTTGGCTGCATAAATGCCTTCTTTTCAAACGTGTCTGTTCATATCCTTTGCCCACTCTTTGATGGGGTTGTCTTTTTCTTATAAATTTGTTTAAGTTCCTTGTAGATTCTAGATATTAGCCCTTTGTCAGATGGGTAGATTGCAAACATTTTTTCCAATTCTGTAGGTTGCCTGTCCACTCTGATGGTAGTTTCCTTTGCTGTACAGAAGCTCTTTAGTTTAATTAGATCCCATTTGTCAATTTTGGCTTTTGTTGCCATTGCTTTTGGTGTTTTAGACATGAAGTCCTTGCCCATGCCTATGTCCTGAATGGCATTGCCTAGGTTTTCTTCTAGAGTTTTTATGGTTTTAGGTCTAACATTTAAGTCTTTAATCCATCTTGAATTAATTTTTGTATAAGGTGTAAGGAAGGGATCCAGTTTCAGCTTTCTACATATGGCCAGCCAGTTTTCCCAGAACCATTTATTAAATACGGAATCCTTTCCCCATTTCTTGTTTTTGTCAGGTTTGTCAAAGATCAGATGGTTGTAGATGTGTGGTGTTATTTCTGAGGGCTCTGTTCTGTTCCATTGGTTTATATATCTTTTTTGGTACCAGTACCATGCTGTTTTGGTTACATAGGCTTGTAGTATAGTTTGAAGTCAGGTAGTGTGATGCCTCCAGCTTTGTTCTTTCGGCTTACAACTGTCTTAGCAATGCTGGCTCTTTTTGGTTCCATATGAACTTTAAAGTAGTTTTTTCCAGTTCTGTGAAGAAAGTCATTGGTAGCTTGACGAGGATGGCATTGAATCTATAAATTACCTTGGGCACTATGGCCATTTTCATGATATTGAGTCTTCCTATCTATGAGCATGGAATGCTCTTCCATTTGTTTGTGTCCTCTTGTATTTCGTTGAGCAGTGGTTTGTAGTTCTCCTTGAAGAGGTCCTTCACATCCCTTGTAAGTTGGATTCCTGGGTATTTTATTCTCTTTGTAGCAATTGTGAATGGGAGTTCATGCATGATTTGGCTCTCTGAGTCTGTCATTGGTGTATAAGAATACTTGTGATTTTTGCACATTGATTTTGTATCCTGTGACTTTGCTGAAGTTGCTTATCAGCTTAAGGAGATTTTGGGCTGAGATGATAGGGTTTTCTAAATATACAATCATGTCATCTGCAAACAGGGACAATTTGACTTCCTCTTTTCCTAATTGAATACCCTTTATTTCTTTCTCCTGCCTGATTGCCCTGGCCAGAACTTCCAACACTATGTTGAATAGGAGTGGTGAGAGAGAGCATCCCTGTCTTGTTCCAGTTTACAGAGGGAATGCTTTCAGTTTTTGCCCATTCAGTATGATATTGGCTGTGGGTTTGTCATAAATATCTCTTATTATTTTGAGATACGTTCCATCAATACCTTGCTTATTGACAGTTTTTAGCATGAAAGGCCATTGAATTTTGTCAAAGGCCTTTTCCTCATCTATTGAGATAATCATGTGGTTTTTGTCTTTGGTTCTGTTTATGTGACAGATTACATTTATTGATTTGTGTGTGTTGAACCATCCTTGCATCCCAAAGCTGAAGCCCACTTGATCATGGTTGATAAGCTTTTTGATGTGCTGCTGGAATCAGTTTGCCAGTATTTTATTGAGGATTTTCGCATCAATGACCATCAGGGATATTGGTCTGAAATTCTCTTTTTTGTTGTTGTGTCTCTCCCAGGCTTTGGTATCAAGATGATGTTGGCCTCATAAAATGAGTTAGGGAGGATTCCCTCTTTTTCTATTGATTGGAATAGTTTCAGAAGGAATGGTACCCGCCCCTCTTTGTACCTCTGGTAGAATTAGGCTGTGAATCCGTTTCATCCTGGACTTTTTTGGTTGGTAGGCTGCTAATTATTGCCTCAATTTCAGAGCCGGTTATTGGTCTGTTCAGAGATTCAACTTCTTCCTGGTTTAGTCCTGGGAGGGTGTATGTGTCCAGGAATTTATCCATTTCTTCTAGATTTTCTAGTTTATTTGCATAGAGGTGTTTATAGTATTCTTTGATGGTAGTTTGTATTTCTGTGGGATTGGTGGTGATATCCCCTTTACCATTTTTTATTGCATCTATTTGATTCTTCTCTCTTTTCTTCTTCATTAGTCTTGCTAGCGGTCTATCAATTTTGTTGATCTTTTCAAAAAACCAGCTCCTGGATTCACTGATTTTTTGAAGGGTTTTTTGTATCTCTATCTCCTTCATTCTGCTCTGATCTTAGTTATTTCTTGCCTTCTGCTAGCTTTTGAATGTGTTTGCTCTTGCTTCTCTAGTTCTTTTAATGGTGATTTTAGGGTGTCAATTTTAGATCGTTCCTGCTTTCTCTTGTGGGCATTTAGTGCTACAAATTTCCCTCTACACACTGCTTTAAATGTGTCCCAGAGATTCAGAGATTCTGGTATGTTGTGTCGTTGTTCTCGTTGGTTTCAAAGAATATCCTTATTTCTGCCTTCGTTTCGTTATGTACTCAGTAGTCATTCAGGAGCAGGTTGTTTAGTTTCCATGTAGCTGTTTGGTTTTGAGTGAGTTTCTTAATCCTGAGTTCTAATTTGATTGCACTGAGGTCTGAGAGACAGTTTGTTGTGATTTCTTTTCTTTTACATTTGCTGAGGAGTGCTTTACTTCCAAATATGTGGTCAATTTTGGAATAAGTGCAATGTGGTGCTGAGAAGAATGTAAATTCTGTTGATTTGGGATGGAGAGTTCTACAGGCGTCTATTAGGTCTGCTTGGTGCAGAGCTGATTTCAAGTCCTGGATATCTTTGTTAACCTTCCTTCTCATTGATCTGTCTAATGTTGACAGTGGGGTGTTAAAATCTCCCATTATTATTGTGTGAGAGTCTAAGTCTATTTTTTGGTCTCTCAGGACTTGCTTTATGAATCTGGGTGCTCCTGTATTGGGTGCACATATATTTAGGATAGTTAGCTCTTCTTGTTGAATTGATCCCTTTACCATTATATAATGGCCTTCTTTGTCTCTTTTGATCTTTGTTGGTTGAAAGTCTGTTTTATCAGAGACTAGGATTGCAACCCCTGCTTTTTTTTTTCTTTCCATTTGCTTGGAAGATCTTCCTCCATCCCTTTATTTTGAGCATATGTGTGTCTCTGCTCATGAGATGGGTCTCCTGAATACAGCACACTGCTGGGTCTCGACTCTTTATTCAATTTGCCAGTCTGTGTCTTTTAATTGGGGCATTTAGTCCATTTAAGTTTAAGGTTAATATTGTTATGTGTGAATTTGATCCTGTTATTATGATGTTAGCTGGTTATTTTGCCCCCTAGTTGATGCAGTTTCTTCCTAGCATCAATGGTCTTTACGATTTGGCATGTTTTTGCAGTGGCTGGTACCGATTGTTCCTTTCCATGTTTAGTGCTTCCTTCAGGAGCTCTTGTAAGGCAGGCCTGGTGGCAACAAAATCTCTCAGCATTTGCTTGTCAGTAACGGATTTTATTTCTCCTTCACTTATGAAGCTTAGTTTGGCTGGATATGAAATTCTGGGTTGAAAATTCTTTTATTTAAGAATGTTGAATATTGGCCCCCACTCTCTTCTGGCTTGTAGGGTTTCTGCCAAGAGATCCACTGTTAGTCTGATTGCTTTGCTTTGTGGGTAACCCGACTTTTCTCTCTGGCTGCCCTTAGCATTTTTTTTTTCATTTCAACCTTGGTGAATCTCACAATTATGTGTCTTGGAGTTGCTCTTCTCAAGGAGGATCTTTGTGGTGTTCTCTATGTTTCCTGAATTTGAATGTTGGCCTGTCTTGCTAGTCTGGGGAAGCTTTCCTGGATAATATCCTGAAGAGTGTTTTCCAGCTTGGTTCCATTCTCCCTGTCACTTTCAGATACACCAATCAAATGTAAATTTGATCTTTTCACATAGTCCCATATTTCTTGGAGGCTTTGTTCATTTCTTTTTACTCTTTTTTTCTCTAAACTTCTTGCTTCATTTCATTAATTTGATCTTCAGTCACTGATAACCTTTCTTCCACTTGATCGAATCGGCTACTGAAGCTTGTGCATGTGTCATGTAGTTCTCATGCCATGGTTTTCAGCTCCATAAAGTCATTTAAGGTCTTCTCTACACTGTTTATTCTAGTTAGCCATTCGTTTAATATTTTTTCAAGATTTAAGCTTCCTTGCGATGGGTTCAAACATCCTCCTTTAGCTTGGAGAAGTTTGTTATTACCAACTTTCTGAAGCCTACTTCTGTCAGCTCATCAAAGTTATTCTCCATCCTGCTTTGTTCCACTGCTGGTGAAGGGCTGAGATCCTTTGGAGGAGAAGGGGCACTTGGTTTTTAGAATTTTCAGCTTTTCTGCTCTGGTTTCTCCCCATCTTTGTGGTTTTGTCTACCTTTGGTCTATGATGATGGTGACCTATAGATGGGGTTTTGGTGTGGTTGTCCTTTTTGTTGATGTTGATGCTATTCCTTTCTGTTTGTCAGGTCCCTCAGCTGCAGGTCTGTTGGAGTTTGCTGGAGGTCCACTCCAGACCCTGTTTGCCTGGGTATCACCAGTAGAGGCTGCAGGACAGCAAATATTGTTGCCTCATCCTTCCTCTAGAAGCTTCATCTCAGAGGGGCATCTGGCTGTATGAGGTGTCAGTTGGCCCCTACTGGAAGGTGTCTCCAAGTTAGGCTACATGGGGGTCAGGGACCCACTTGAGGGGGGCAGTCTGTCTGTTCTCAGAGCTCAAACACAGTGCTGGGAGAACCACTGCTC
The DNA here is from genome assembly GCF_000001405.40 of Homo sapiens. NCBI lineage: Eukaryota > Metazoa > Chordata > Mammalia > Primates > Hominidae > Homo > Homo sapiens. The sequence goes on along the minus strand of NC_000007.14, from coordinate 145,967,194 downwards.
TCTTCAGACCTGTCAGACAGGGACATTTAAGTCTGAAGAAGTTTCTGCTGTCTTTTGTTCAGCTATGCCCTGCCCCTAGAGGTTGAGTCTACAGAGGCAGGAGGGCCTCTTTGAGCTGTGGTGGGCTCCACCCAGTTGGAGTTTCCCAGCCGCTCTGTTTACCTACTCAAGCCTCAGCAATGTTGGAAGTCCCTCCCCCAGCCAGGCTTGCTGCCTTGCAGTTCTATCTTGGAGTAGCAGTGAGCAAGGCTCCATGGGTGTGGGACCCGCTGAGCCATGCATGGGATATAATCTCCTGGTGTGCCATTGATAAGACCGTTGGAAAAGTATAGTGTCTAGTTGGCAGTGTCCTGATTTTCCCAGTACAGTCTGTCATGGCTTCCTTTGGCTAAGAAAGGGAATCCCCTGACCCCTTGCACTTCCTGGGTTAGGTGATGCCCCACCCTGCTTCGGCTCACCCTCTGAGGGCTGCTCCCACTTTCCGATCAGTCCCAATGAGATGAACCAGATACCGCAATTGGAAATGCAGAAATCACCGGTCTTATGCATCGATCTCGCTGGGAGCTGGAGACCAGAGCTGTTCCTATTTGGCCTTCTTGGAACACAACTTCATTGTCTCTTCTTATAATTTTTGTCTTGAAATCTCTTTTGTCTGATAGAAGTACTCCTGCTTTTATCTGCTTTCCATTGGCATAGAATATCTTTTTCCATCTCTTTATTTTCAGTCTGTGTGTGCCTTTATAGATGAAGTGTGTTTCTTGTAGGCAACAGATCTTTGAGTCTTGTTTTTTATCAGCCATTTATGTCTTTTGATTGTAGAGTTTCATCCATTACATTCACCATTATTCTTGATAAACAATGACTTACTCCTGCCACTTTGTTATTTATTTTCTGGTCTTTTCCTTCTTCTTTTTTTTTCCTGTCTTCCTTTAGTGAAGGTGATTTTCTCTACTAATATAACTTAGTTTTTTTTTGTGTGTGTGTGTGTATCTTTTATATAATTTTTGTTTTGAAGTTACCATGAGGCTTACAAATACTATACTGTAACCTATTATTTTTAAGCTGATAGTAACTTAACACTGTTTACATAAACAGACAAGTAAATGAAAACTAATAAAAACTCTATGCCTTTACTTTATGCCCCTGCTTTTCAAATGTTGTGGCTTCTGTTTACATCTTCTTGTACTATCTATGTCTTTAAATGTTGTATTTTTTTATTATTTCATCATTTTCTCTTTCTACTTATGATAAAAGTAATTTTACACATCACAGTTACAGTGATATAATATTCTATGTTTCTTTGTTTACTGACACACCACAGTTACAATGATATAATATTCTGTTTATTTGTGTACTATTACTAGTGAGCTTTGTACCTTCAGATAATTACTTATTATTTATTACTGTCTTTTTTTTTCTGATTGAAGTACTCTCTTTAGCATTTGTCATAACACACATCTATCTGGTGTTGGTGAAATCTTTCGGCATTTGTTTGTCTGGGAAAAGTCTTTATTTCTCCCTCATGTGTGAAGGTTATTTTCACTGGATATAGCATTCTAGGGTAAAAGTTTTTTTTCCTTCAACATGTTAAATATGTCATGCCATTCTCTCCTGGCATTTAAGGTTTCCACTGAAGAGTCTTCTGCCAGGCATATTGTAACTCCATTTTATGTTATTTGTTTCTTTTCTCTTGTTGTTTTTAGAGTCCTTTCTTTATCCTGCATCCTTAGGAGTTTTTATTAAATACCTTGTGCTAATCTTTGGATTAAATCTGTTTAGTATTCTATATCTTTATTGTACTTGGATATTTATATCTTTCTCTGGATTTGTGAAGTTCTCTACTAAATTTCTACCCATGCACTTTCCTCTACCTCCTCTTTAATGTCAATAACTATTAATTTAACTCCTTTGAGTTTATTTTCTACATCCTGTAAGTGTGCTTAATTATTTTTTCTTCTTTTGTCCTTTGTTTCCTCTGACTGTGTAATTTCAAATAGCCTGTCTTCAAGCTCACTAGTGGTTTCCTCTGCTTAATCAATTCTGATGTTAAAAAACTCTGATGCATTCTTCAGTATGCCAATTGCATTTTTCAGTCCAGAATTCTGCTTGATTCTTTTTATTTATTTCAATCTATTTGTTAAATTTATCTGATTAGAATTCTGAATTCCTTTTATGTGTTATCTTGAATTTATTTGAGTTTCATCAAAACAGCTATATTGAATTATTTGTCTGAGGGGACATGTATCTCTGTTTCTCCAGGATTGGCCTCTGGTTCCTTATTTAGCTCATTTGGTGAGATCGTGTTTTCCTGAATCGTCTTGGTACTTGTAGATGTTCATCTCTGTCTGACCATTGAAGAGTTAGGCATTTATTGTAGTCTTCACAGTCTGGGCTTTTGAACTTCCCCTTCTTTAGAAAGTTGTCTGGATATTAAAAAAAAAAACTTAGGTGTTGTGATCTAAACTATATCTGCTTCAGGGGGCACCCCAAGTCCAGTAATGCTGTGGTTCTTGCAGACTTTTAGAGATACTGCCTTGATGATCTTGGACAAGATCCATAAGAACTCTCTGGATTACCAGGCAGAAACTTGTGTTCTCTTCCCTTACTTGCTCCCAAATAAACAGAGCGTCTCTCCTTGTTTTCAACTCCTTGAAGCATTGGATGGAGTGACACAAGTACCCCTGTGGCCACCACAACTAAGACTCCCCTGGCTCAGATCTGAACCCAGCACAACACTGGGTCTCACCTAAGGCCTGCTGTGATGTCTCCCTGGCTACTGCCTATGTTTGCTCAAGGCCGTTAGGCTCTACAATTAGCACGTGGTAAGCCAGACAGGCCTGTGTCTTTCACTTCAGGGCAGTGAGTTCCTCCAGGCCTTATGTAGGTCCAGAGATGCTGCCTGAGAGCCAGGGACTAGAGTTTAAAACCTTAAAAGTTACCTAATATTCTGTTGTACTGCTAAACTGGCACTCAAACCACAAGATGGAGACCTTCCCACTCTTCCCTACCTTTTCCAATGGCAGAAGAGCCTTGCCCCATGGGCACTACCACCACAGGCCCAAGAAGAGTACTGTCAGACTACCCTCAATGTACCTTTTAGGCCCAAGAGCTCTTCAGTCAGCTTGTTGTGACTGATGGCTGGCCTAGTATTCATCCTTCAGAGTAGTGGGCTCCCTTTCCCCAGAGAAGTTCCAGCAATACCATCCAAGAGCCAAATACTGCAATCAGGTTCCTCGAGACCTCTCTTGGTGCTGTACTCCTGCATGGAGGAGCTGGTACTTAAAGTGCAAGATAACTCCCCTTTACTTTTCCCTCTACTTTTCTCAAGTGGAAGGAGTTTCTCCCCACATCCATCACAGCTGGTAATGTAATGAGTCTCACCTTAAGCCCAGAAGTCTTAGAGTCTCACCCAACGCCCTAACATAGTTCCTGTGTATTGCTGCTGGATATTCAGGGCCCAAAGTCTCTCCAGTTAGCAAATAATAAATGCTGCCAGGACTGTGTCCTTCTCTTTAAGGCAGTGAGTTCCCTTCTGTCAGATGACATGTCTAGAAATGTCATCTGGGACATGGGGCCTGGAATCAGATCTTCATGACATTTACTGGTGCCCTATCCTTCTGACTGAGCTGTTATTCGAGATGTGAAATAAAGTACTCTTCACTCTTTCCTTTCCTCAAGTGTAAGGAAGGGCTCCCCCCTCGGAGCCACGAGCTATGCAGCCTCAGGTTAAAGGAGTGATGATGCCAGCACTTCCCTAGCTGCCCCAGCTGGTGTCTCAGAAGGTCATGTGACCCCCAATCCACTGTCTTTGGGCCAAGTTCAGCACTAAGACTTGTCAAAAAGTTGCAGTCCTTAGGTCCTAGATGGTTTTTCAAGTTTATTTAAAGACTCAGAGCACTTTAGCCCATGGTGGCACCACTTGTGGGAACTCGAATTTTGACCACTGGTATTGGTGATTCCTCTCTGGCTAGGGCTGGTTTGAATGCTCCCTCCATGGATGGGAGTCAGCTAGATTCTGTCCAGTTTTCCTTTCTGCTGTAACAGGACAGCACTGAATTCAAGGCCTCACATTTACTGCACTCTCCCTCCTCCAGTGCCCAGAAATGCTCTCTGCATCATGCTGCTGCTGCTGGGGAATAAGGGAGGGGTGGCATCAGCCATTCAAGACAGTTTGTTTTACCTCTTCAATGCCTCTTTCAGCAATATTAAGTTAAAACCAGCAACTTTGAGTGCTCACCTGATTTTTGGTTATTATGTTGGTGATTTTGTAGTGTAGATAGTTGTTAAATTGGTGTCCTTGTTGGGGGAGCAATTGATGGTGCCTTCTATACTACTATCTTGCTCTGTCTGCAATCAAGACACCGAATTACATTAAAGTGAAAACTTCTCTTCTGTGAAAGACAATATGAAGAGAATGGAAAACTAAGCCATAGACTGGAAGAAAATATTCGCAAAATACATATTTGATAAAGAACTGTTATTCAAAATATACAAATAACTCTTAACATTAAACAACATGTAAATTAACTTCCAATTTATAAATTTGTCTTTGTATTAGCTCTTCTCTCTACATGTAAACCTCTTCCCTGGGCTGCATTCTTCGCAGAATAATAATTTCATCAAAGGTCTTCTTGGAGGCCTTTTTATCCTGACAATGTCATCTCAAGTAGAGGCTGCTGCCCTCTCTGTGCCTTCCTTTCTTACAGATAGAAAGGCTGGGTTAAGGCTTTCCTCTTTGGGCCAAAGCTCCCAAATGAAGAGGTGTTTTAAGCAGATTTGTGTGTCCCCAAATTAGGGGCACCTACACTCACACTCACAGCTCTGAGCAACACCTATTCTCAGGCTGATCTGCCCCAGTCCTCAGGCACCAGGTGCCCCAGAGAAGACACAGGGTATGGACAGGTAAGCCAAAGGGCAGGGGTGAGGTGTCTGGCTTTCACAAGTTTCTCACTGTATCAGGGTCACATGGAGGAATCTTGCTGTTTCTGCATGCTCTACGGTGAGGAGAAATAATTAGCTGGGAGCCAATTAAGGATCTTGTCAGAGGGAGGGGAACTTTGAATAAACTAGATATTTAAACTGAAATGAGACCATTGAAATCATAAGAGCCTGAGATATATTAGTTTTAAGAGATTAAAAAGTGGCATTTTGTTTGCAAAAAAAAGACAATACAAAAATAAATAAAAAGAAAAGTTGGCAAATGGAATCGACATCATAGAAGAAGACAAGCAGATGGCAAATAAACATACGAAAAGATATTCACTATCATATGTTATTAAGAAACTGCAAATGAAAACAACACCTAGATACCACTACGCACGTATTACATTGGCCAAGTTTCAAAACACTTCCAACATCAAACGCTAAAGAGGATTTGGAGCAACAAGAATTCTCATTCCTTGCTGATGGCAATGCAAAATAATGCAGTTACTTGGCAGACATTTTGACAGTTTCTTACAAACTTAAACATACTCTTACCATATGATTGAGTAGTTGTGCTTCTTGTATTTACCCAAATAAATTGAAAACATATGTTGACACAAAAATCTGCACACAAATATTTATAGTTTCTTTATTCATAACTGCCCAAACTTGGAAATAATCAAAATGTCCCTCAATACATGAGTGGATAGACAACCTGTGGTACCTCCAGACAGTGGAATATTATTTAGTGCTAAAAAGAACTGCGTTATCAAGCCATAAGAAGATGAAGCTTGATAGTCCCAGCTACTTGGGAGGCTGACATGAGAATCGCTTGAACCCAGGAGGCAGGGGTTGCAGTGAACAGAGATCCCATCTCTGCACTCCGTGCACTGCAGCCTGGGTGACAGAGCAAGAATCTGTCTCAGAAAATAAAAAACAAAAAAACAGAGGCTAAGTACCTGTAGTTCTGGGCGCCCTCCCTCACCTGTGGACAAGGGTCACTTACTGGCTGCTTTGACCAAGAAATGAAACTTGCTTTTATAAGGAATAAAGGAAAACTAGGCATGGTGGCTCATGCCTGTAATCCTAGCACTTTGGGAGGCCAAGGCAGGTGGATCACCTGAGGTCAGGAGTTTGAGACCAACCTGACCAACATGGAGAAACCCCATCTCTACTTAAAAAAAAAATTAAAAATTAGCTGGGCATGGTGGTGCATGCCTGTAATCCCAACTACTCAGGAGGCTGAGGCAGGAGAATCGCTTGAACCCTGGAGGCAGAGGTTGCGGTGAGCTGAGATTGCGCCATTGCACTCCAGCCTGGGCAACAAGAGTGAAACTCTGTCTGAAATAAAAATAATAATAATAATAAAGGAAAACAGCAGCGAACCACATTCACTTCTATAAACTTAATGTGATGTGACTCTTTTGCACCTCTTATCTGCCACTGTGATAGTAAACCAAAGTGAAGGCAGTTTGTCTTTCTCTCCAGTCTTAAATCAGAAAGAGCCTGGGACTGGTCTGTCATAACTGAATAACATTTAGTTTTAGGACTCCCAAATCACTGTTTTAGTGACTTCCTCAGTTTTGATCATTAAAAGCCTTTTTTTTTTTTTTTTTTTTGAGAGGGAGTCTCGCTCTGTCGCCCTGGCTGGAGTGCAGTGGTGCGATCTCGGCTCACTGCAAGCTCCGCCTCCCAGGTTCACGCCATTCTCCTGCCTCAGCCTCCCGAGTAGCTGGGACTACAGGCGCCCGCCACCACGCCTGGCTAATTATTTTTTTGTATTTTTATTAGAGACGGGGTTTCACCATGTTAGCCAGGATGGTCTCGATTTCCTGACCTCGTGATCCGCCCGCCTCGGCCTCCCAAAGTGCTGGGATTACAGGCGTGAGCCACCGCACCCGGCCTAAAAGCCTCTTTTTGCTTCTTAGATTATCCAAAACGTCTATTTTGGTTTTCTGGTTAGGTTTGCCCTGACTGAAAAGCAACCCAGGTCTGCACACTTTTGATTCTTTTCATTTGCATTAAAATGGGTCTGCCTCATGTCTCAAATCCCTTATGGTCCTTCTGTGTGCTGTCAATTACGCTGAATAAGCTAATTTGTGTTAAGTTTTTAATGGCCCATTTTACTTCCCTTCTGAGAAATCATATTTATCTACACTACCAACCTCAAGTAATATGTTAAACCTGAAAGAATTACAATGCCATTGGAAGCTAAGACTCATGAAAGCATTCTACAAAATGAATCCCATTTATTGACCCTTCTAAGTCTATCAAAATAGTAGAGAGGGGAGACATTCATAAGGAGAGTTTCAGGAGAAAATAGTTGATATGATTGCGGCTGGTAGGTCACTAACGATAATAATTGTTCAGAGAATTCACATTGCAATCTAGTTTTTGTCTATTCCAGAATCTCAGTATCAGTCTCAACACACACATTGGAATCTTGCCATTTCAACACCTACAGCATGATTCTTCAAGTCTTTGTGTGTTTTCACATAGGCCATTCCATCTGCATGGTACGTCCCTTCTCTTTCTTATGGTGAAGTGAAATTGCGTTCATTCTTTAAAACCCAGTTAAAACACTACCTCCTCTTTAAGATGTCCCCTGATGTTTCCAGGAAAACAGTTTTTCTGGCTTGTTTTTATTATCATTTGGTTTACATTGTATATAAAGTAGTTATTATATTGTATTATAGTAACCTTATTTTTTTGACCAGACCAGAAATATTTGCTAGAAGCAAGCATATCATATTCAACTTAGTATTCTTTTTTAGGGCTTAACAACATACCTAAACCATAATATAGAGAAGCAAATGGATAAATAAAAAAAGGAATGAATATATTGCCTTTCCGAAAAGTAAGCTTGGGGGGCAGCAGCTTTTCAGTAGGTACAATAATGAACATTTCTTAAGAAAAAGGTTCTATTTCTGCTATAGGGATCTTATAAATATCAGCATTAAACAAGTGTGTAAATTATGAAATTGAGCTAAAAAATTAAGTGAGCCCAATTTTTACAACAGAGTCTTATGATTTGATGATGGTTTTGTTTCTCAAACAAAATCAAAGTTGCACTGACCGCAATTTTTGACAAAAGAGAATGGCAATTTTATAGTATACAAAACATTATTGTTAACTATACTCAACCTACTGTGCAATCGGACACCAGAAGAGAGGATTTTGAATGTTCTCACTACAAAGCAATGACGAACATATGAGGTGATGAATATGCTAATTACCCTGATTTGATCATTATACAAAGTATACCTGTAGCCAAACATCATATTATACTCCCTAAATATGCACTGTTATTATGGGTCAATTAAAATGAAAAAAATTATAATGGCAATTTCACTACACATACTTTTATCATAGTGAAGAAATGGGAATAAGAGAAGTGTGTAGGCCTAGTTGCAATTAATCTATGTCTTACTCAATTATATGCACTAATAAATTTGGAGTGTTTTTTGCTTCAAAGAAACTTGAACACAAAAATTTGATAAACACTGATATTTGTAAATTACCAGCTTGTGTGGTAACTTCATGATATATTTCTTATGCCAATAATACTAATCTTTTTCATGAGTTTTTCATTCACTTTTGATCAAAGAATGCAATCATTCTTTCTTCATTCTGTGAAAATCTGCTGCTTAATTATTCCAATTTGTGTGATTATTTTAGTTACTTTAAGAGAAGCAAAGTATTTTATTGGGACTAGGGAGCAATCATTGTCCACATGTAGGTTTAAAACAAGATTGTTTTATAACCCGGCAGTAATTTTTAAGGGAAGAAATTATCAGTTATAAAATTTAGATTTTTAAAAATATTTTATTTGAAATTTTAGCCTTAAATTAATATTATCAATGAAAGCATGTATGCCTTAGTGGGCATAATCAAGATTAAAAAACAAAACCAGACAAAAAAATATAATTATTATTATTGTGCTATCTTATTGTACAATCTTACATCACATTAAAAAATATGTAGAGATAAATACGTTCTCAGAGATTAAAGACAGTTAATTCCAAGATTAATTGTAGTTCATAAGGATAAAATCAGCCTGAAGGTATACAGTACTCTAAAATACTGTTTCAACATCAACATAAGAAGCTTGAATAGAATCACTATGACAAAATAGCTGTAATTTGTTTTCTATTTTGAAAGTGATCTTTTAAATTATTTTTTTCTATTAGCCTAATTTAGCATAGCAAATAAGGATCTAGATTCATAATAATTTTGAAGTTGGCTTTTAAAAATACATTAAATACTTCACTGAATATTTAATTGAATATTTCAGGCCCCTATTATCCTTAAAAAATACAAATCAATATATATAGAAAACATACTCAGTATCCAAATCAGTAGTCAGCTATATAATTTTCTCTGAATATAATTTCTCAACCAAAGGAGCCAGATATCTCCCTAATTATTCAGTTTTTCTGCAGAATATGATAGCTTTTAAAATTGTGGTCACCCACAGGAATGATATTTTTGATGGTCACACAGATTCTAGGAATTTCTCTTCTTCTGCCCTTTCTTTCCCATGAGTAAACATGGCTGTGGTTATTAAAATAGTGGAAAAAATGTTCTAATACTATCCTTGTTGATCCTAGGAATTGAGCAATGCTTGCCTTGCAATAAAATCAGCTGTTAGTGAGTTACAACACAAGAGTTATCTTTCTAGATTCTCTGTCAGTGACAAGACGAATAAAATAATAGTGTCTTTGCCATTTCAATTTGCCAAACAGAGGAGATATTTTCTATTTATTTTTCTATTTTCTGGAAACAATACATGTTGAATTAAAAATGTATGTATGTTCTGGACTCATGCAGGGTATTATTACTTTTCTAAGATCTGAAAATATAGATACGTTGGATATGAAATGCTGAAGCAGCTGCCACTTCCTGAACACCTGCATCTAAGGATCAGATTATTTGCTTAATGGGGTTGTTAAAGAAGTATTATTGTACCTATTTTTTGGTCCAGTAGTAAAGGATAGAAATTTAAAAACTCCTTTCACCATGACACTATTCAGAAATAACTATGTCAACACAACCTAGTAGAATATTTTAATTGTAGAAAGTTGACCATTCCCTCTCAGATTAAGTATGACAGACATAATCATAGCATGATGATGTTTGAGGACAGTTTTCTGAGTTAAAATACAGAAGTCAGGGAAAATAGAATATACATATTTTCCCTTGTCTTCCAACTAAATGTCCTTGAACATTTATATACAAAATGAACATTATTAAACCCTGAAGGGTGGAGAGAAGGCACCCTATTTGGGAACTTCAGGAGCCTAAAATCTACATGTTAGTTCCCTGGGTTATAATTTCCCTCATATGTTCCATATTTGAAGCTGAAGAAGCTAGCAACCCAGAAAAACCAACATGGGCAAGCAAAAATCAAGAAATAAATAAACAACACCTCAAAAGCCCACTTCCTCCGGACAAAGGCCCAGGAAAGGGGTATCCTGGCAATACAGAGAAATTTTAGATAACAACCACTCTACACTAAAACAAACAGCACAAAAAAATCTGCAGCCTGACCACATTCACGGTCATAAGGAACAAGTAAGGAGCCTAGACTTCCATTTTTACCAAGCTGTAATGAAACACACCAACTCCATTGCCCCTTGGGATGGTGTCATAGATAGTTGTGTAGGAAGTTAGGATATTTTGTCTGACTGACAGTCGTAACTTTTTCTCCTCTAAACATTTTTTAGTGCAATAGAACATATACCAAGATAGATCATATCCTGGAACATAAACCAAACATCAAAAAATTTAAAATAGTTTTTGAAGAACCCCCCAAAATATTCTCCATAGTGCTTATACTAATTTACATTCCCACCAACAGTGTACAAGTATTCCCTTCAATTAATACAGAATATATTCACTTAACACAATGGGATCAAACTAGGAATCAATAAGAAAGATAACGGTAAAGTCTCCAAACACAAACTAAACAATAGACTTCTAAATAATTTATGTGTCAAAGAACAAATCTCAAGGGAATACCAAAAATACATTGCCCTGAAGGAATATAAAAATAAAACTTCTCAATACTTTGAAAATACAGTTAAGGAAGTGCCAAGAGGAAAATTTATAGCACTAAATGCTTACATAAAAAAGGAAAAGTTTTAATTCAACAATCTAAACTCCTACCTCAAAAATCTAGAGAAGGAATAGTAAAGCAAACCCAAAACAAGCAAAGGGAAATCAAGATAAAATGAGACATCAATGAAATGAAGAGAATATCAGTACAGAAAAAAAAAATGAGACTAATACAGAAAAAAAGACAAGATAAAAAATTATCAATAACAGGAAGTAGATATCACTACAGACCTCAGGCCCAGATGGTCAGACTGGGTAATTCCATTAAAACTTTTAAAAAGAATTAGCACCAAACCTGAAGGATCTCTTCCAGAAAGTAGAAGAGTGGACAAAACCAAATTATTTTAAGAAGCTATTATTACCCTGATATGAAAACCAGATGAAAGAATATTGACAAGGAACACTACAGAACAATATTTTTCATAAATATAGATGTAAACATTTATAACAAAGTTCTAACAAATACAATTCATCAACATATAAAAAAAATTTAAGCACTATGACCAATAGGGGTTCATTTCAGGTAAGTAAAGGTGAGTCGATAATGGAAAATAATTCAATCTTGTGATTCTTTTAATTTATTCTGAAAAAGCATTTTATGAAATTCCATACTCATCATGAAAAAAGCTCATAATCATGATAAAAAGATTGAAATCTTTACCCCTGAGATTCAATAGCACAAAGCAAGAATATCCATTCCCACCTCTTTTGTTCAATATAGTGCTGAAAATTCCACCCAGTGAAAATATGCAAGACTAGGAATTAAAAGATAGACAGTTTGGAAAGGAAGAAAAAATATTCTCGCTATTTTTAGGTGACATGATTATTTATGTAGAAAACCCAAAGAAAATGAAGAAAAAGAAATCCTAAGTCTGATAAGTGAATTCACCAATATAACAAATGCAAGACAAACCTATAAAATGAGTTGTATTTCTATATAACACCATTTAATGCAAAATTAGAAATACAATGTATTTTACAGTTGCTTAAAAAGATGAAATGCTCTGGTATAAATCTATCAAAACATGTTAAGACTTTTATGTTAAAAACTGCAAAATGCTGATGAAATAACTCAAAGAAGGCCTAAATAAAAGACATACTGTATTCACGGATATGAAGACACAGCATCGTAAATATGTGAATTCTCCCCAAATTGATATGCAGCTTTAACACAATTCCTATCAAAATTCCAACAAGATTTATCTGTAGATATTGACAAGATATTTGAAATCGACTTATATAGAAATGCAAAAGAATATGATAATTTTCAAAACTTTGAAAAAGTAAAGTTGGAGGAATAGGTCTACCCAATTTTAGGAGTTTTTTTATATTGCCTGTGATCAACATTGTATAGTATTGAAGGAAGACTAGACACATAGATTAAGGGAACAGAATAGGAAAACCCAAAGAAGACCCACACACATATAATAGATTTCTGGAAATATGGGGCAAAAGCAATTCACTGAAAAAAAAATAGGTTTTTCTTCAACAAATGGTGCTGGAGCAATTGGATATCCAATGAGGGAAGAAAAATCTCAATGTAAGTCTTATACCTTATCTAAGAGTTAACTCAAAATGGGTCACAATTTAAATGTACAGTTACAAAAATTTTAGGAAAATATACAAGAAGGAACTTAACAGAACCTAGGGTAAGGCAAGAGTTTTTAGATATAACACCAAAAGCATAGTTTATAAATTGAAAGTTGAATAAATTATGTTTCATCAGATTAAAAACCTTTGCTCTTGGAAGCACTCTCCTATTAAAATAATGAAAAGAAAAGCTACAGACTGAGATAACATATTTGCAAACCACATATGTGAGAAAGGACAGAATATATAAACAATTCTCAAAACTCAACAGAAAAAAAAGCAAGCCACTTAGAAAATAAGCACAATACATGAAATAACATTTTGTCAAAGAGGACATACACATAGCAAATAAATGCATGAAAAACTGTTCAACAATTTTAGTCAAATACCAATTAAAACCACAATGAGTTATCACTATATACTTATCAGAATGTCAAAAATGAAAATTAATGATAACAACAAATACCGATAAAACTGCAGAAAAACTGGATCACTCATTTAATATCAACAGGAATTTGAAATGGTATATCCACTCTGGAAACAGTTTGGCATTGTCTTAAAATTAAACAAGCCACTACCATGTGACCCAGCAAATGCATTAGTAGGCATTTATCCCAGAAAAATGTGAAGTTTTCTCACACAAAAACTTGTACATGAGTGTTCATGGCATCTTAATTCATAATAGCTAAGAACTGGAAACAATTCAGATGCCCTTAATAAATGGTTAAGTAAACACGACTATATCTATTCCATGGAATAATACTTAATAAAATAGGAATAAAGTTTTGATATGCACAACAACTTGAATGACTCTTCAGAACACTATGCTAAGCATAAAAAGTCAATCTCCAAAGGTTACATACAGCAAGATTATATTCTGTATATTATAAAATAACAATATTTTTAAAAAAGAGAACAGATTTTCAGACCATGGTTTCAGAGATTAAGGAGGTGAGGAAAGTGGATGTAACTATAAAGGGGCAGCATGAGGAATCTCTGTGGTGTTGGAATTGTTCTGTATGTTGATATCATGACTGTATCAATGTCAATATCCCAATTGTGATACTGTACTATGGTTTTGCAAGATGTCAGCACTGGCAAAAACTAGGTAAGGAGTAGATGTGGTCTCTGCATTATTTCCTGCAACTGAATGTGAGCCTATTGTATAAGTACAACAAAAAATGTAATTCAAAAACATATAAGGCAATAAAGAGTATGCAAGGGTTTTATCTGAAGTAAGCAAATATGGCACATTGAAATGTAAAGTAAAACATACAGTATTATGACATAGTAAATATAATGATAGATAATGACTGCATTACGGTTTTAATTTATTGTTATTGTTATTTTATTTTTTTTAAGATAAGGTCTTCTCACTTTTGCCCAGACTAGGAATGCAGTGGCGCCATAATGGCTCACAGCAGACTCGATCTGTTGGGCTCAAGACATTCTCTTGCCTCAGACTTCTGAGTAGCTGGCACTACAGGCGTGGGCCACCACATCTGGCTAATTTTTATTTTTTTACACTTTATTTTTTAGAAATGGGGTGTTGCTATGTTGCCTAGGCTGGTCTCGAACTCCTGGGCTCAGGTGATTCCCCCGCCTTGGCTTCTCAGAGTTGGGCTTACAGGCACGTGAGCCACCATGCCGAAACAGGGTTTTAATTTAAAATGAAGGCTGGTTAGGAGCTCTATACATGCTATTCCAATTGCCAACAAAAATTTCTCTAAAGAAATCTCGAAAAAAAGATATAAACATTAAAATTAAGACTTACTAGGGTTGGAAAAAATTTCCACACACGACAAGGTGAATGGAAATGGATTCAGAAACTGAATCAGTATTTTTGCTATGCTGACATAGAGAAAATGACAGATAGAATTTTGGAGTAGGTATGCCTTATTTTTTATGATGGCATGATTTACAAACAAATGAAGTCTAGAATATGTAGTATTATACCAATCACAGAAAGGGTTTTCTCACAGAGACAACAGCAAATTGATCAATTTGAACCCCTATACAAATGATTAGGACAAATTTAATCTTTTTTAATAACTATAGAGAATGTAAATGGTGCCAAAATTTTCCAGAAGAAAGAATTAAAAATTTTTGTGAAATTTAAAAGAGCAAGTAATTGGGTTTCAGAGGATTCATTAATTGTATTTAATAGGTATTTTTTTCACCTCTGTCTTAACTTTCTTTGAGCAATTCATTTATATTTTTATATCTATATCAGAAATATGATCTTTTATAATTAAAATTGATCTAGATAAACTTCTTTTAAACATTTTGAAACAGCTTATATCTTGTATTAGTTGTGGAAGGAGATAATTTAGGGAAAGTAGAATTAATATATAAATATTATTCAGAAAGATTAAGCAAGATCAAATTCTCTGAAGAAAGTTTTAAAGAAAATTTATGTAGGGCTCCAAAATGTGGCAGTGGCTAATGTTTTTACAAACAGTTTTAGTTTGCAGAAAGTTCTCAGATAAGCAGTGTTTTATCATTCTCCAGTTTATCATACTTGTTATGAGCTACAGACAAATTGAGTATAGGAAACAAGAAAGGAATAAATGAGAATTGTTGCTTGTGGGTATGACAATTTAAGGGGAGGAATTTAAATGATATATCAGAACAGCTTTATTTAGGGAAACATTTTATACTTTCTATATTCTGAAGTTAATTTTTCCTCTTTCTTCCTCCTTAAAACATTTTTCTGCAATGTTTCAGTTTTGCAAATGGGTTCCATCTAATTAATCTATGAAGCGATGATAATATGATTAATCTATGAAGTGTTGAGGGAAATATAGCATAAGTGTTCAAAGCAAAACATGGCATTTCAAGCCTGAAGGATTTTGAGATTACCTCATTTATCTGTATATGATGTCTAAAAGCCTCAACTAAGTAAATACAGAAGTTTAGTAAATGTATGTCACAATGTTTTATTATCTTACTCATGAGAATAACAAACATAAGAGCCTTATTTCAAGACAATTTGTATACAATTCTAGTAAGCTTGAATATAGAAACTAACTAGATATATAGTTTCTATATACATTAACATATTGATTTCTGGATGCCTTTTTTACTTTCCAAATTAACACTACCTATAGGAGTCATTAATCTAATCATCACTTTATGTTTCAGTTAATTATAAATGCTGTTGAACTACACTTGGTCAGGCATTGATCCACATACATCTTACTAGAAATATCCTTAAAATGCAGTGTATGACCATTCATTATTAAATACATTTATGAAGCACCCTTTGCATTTCTTTTCATGCCACAGTGCTCAGTTCCAAGCTGATCCTTGGACTAGATTTTTGGCTGATTTGAGCATAAGTTGATAAAGTCAAAGGTTTGGTCTTATTAACACTGTTTCGTAGTCAGAGGTTTCACTTCTCTCTCTAGCTTACAAAAAGATGTGGACATAAAAGCTTCTGGAGAAAAATTTAAAAGGAGTTTAAGGCAATCATAACCTCTGGAAATGAATATTTACTAATTTTGTTCAATAAATTCATTCATTTCTTAAAAAATAAAAATCTAGTTCTAACAATTCATGTACCCTCAGCAGTATAGTGCCTCTATTAAGAACACTGCCCTTTGAGTTAGACTGCCTTGGTTTAAATCTTGACTTTGCCATGTATTAAATATATGCCTTTGGAAAATTTATGTAACTTCTTCTTTACATATCAATTTTCTTGTATATACAATACATATAATCTAGTGCCTACTGCATAGAATTATATAAGGATAAAATGAGTTAGTACATATAAAGCCCTTATAACTGACTACTACATAGCATTAGATAAATAACTATTAATTATTATTATTAATTTTAGTATCAAGGAATAGGATAATGCCTTAATCTTATTGTTTAAATAGCAGAATTTTTTCTTGCCTTATTTTTTTAACTTTTAAGTTCAGAGGTACAAGTGCAGGTTTGTTACAAAAGTAAACTTGTGTCATGGGGCTTTGTTGTGCAGATCATTTCCTCACCCAGGTATTAAGTCTAGTACCCATTATTTATTTTTCCTGATCCTCTCCCTATTCCTATCTTCCACCCTTGGAAAGGCCTCAGTGTGTGTTCTTCACTTCCATGGGTCCATGTGTTCTCATCATTTAGCTCCCACTTATAAGTGAGAATATGTGGTATTGATTTTCTGTTCTTGCGTTAGTTTGCTGAAAATAATGGCCTCCAGTTGCATCCATGTTCATGCAAAGGACATGATCTCGTTTTTTATGGCTGTATAGTATTTCATGGTGTATATGCACCATATTTTATTTATCTATAATATTATTGATGGCCATTTAGGTTGATTCTATGTCTTTGCTATTGTGAATAGTGCTGCAATGAACATACACATGCATGTGTCTTTATAACAGAATGATTTATATTCCTTTGGGTATATAACCCAGTAGTGACAATGCTGGGTCAAATGGCATTTCTGTGTTTAGGTCTTTGCAGATTCACCATGCTGTCTTTCACAATGGCTGAACTAATTCTTTGGTCAGATTTTCTCACTGTATTGTTCAAATTTTGTATACTTACTGAAGTGTTGGTATATTTATTCTGTCAGTCACAGAGTAGTATCTGAACATTTTACACTGTAATCATGAATTTTTCTCACTATCTGTGTAGTTGGCAGTTTTATTCTATATATTTTGAGGCTTTGAAGACAGATCTTAAATTATTGTCTCTTTTTGAACAATTTATTGTCATAAAATAGATTTCTTCCTTTCCAGAAATGTTATTTGCCTCAAAATTTATTATTGTTTTATGTTTATATGGCTCTACTCACTTTTGGTTATTGCTTGGATGGATATCTTTCACCAGTCTTTCACTTTCAACTTCTCTTTTGTTTTAGTTGTGTCTCTTGTTAAAAGCATATAATGGAGTTTTGCTTTTTAATCCAACCTTTATCTTTTTTTTAATACTTTAAGTTCTAGGGTACATGTGCACAACGTGCAGGTTTGTTACATATATATATATATATATATATATATATATATATATATATATATATATATATATGCCATGTTGGTGTGCTGCACCCATGAACTCATCATTGTTATGTCTCCTAATGCTATTCCTCCCCCCTCTGCCCACCCCACAACAGGACTCGGTATGTGATGTTCCCCACACTGTGTCCAAGTGTTCTCATTGTTCAGCTCCCACCTATTAGTGAGAACATGCGGTGTTTGGTTTTCTGTCTAGACTGGATTAAGAAAAAGTGGCACATATACACCACGGAATAATATGCAGCCATAAAAAAGGATGAGTTCATGTCCTTTGTAGGGACATGGATGAAGCTGGAAACCATCATCCTCAGCAAACTATAGCAAGGGCAATCTTTGTCTTTTACCTGAATTGTTGGGGTTTTTAATTGACACATAATAATATAGATATTTGTAAATTACCTAGTGATGTTGTGACATATACATACAGTGTGTAGTGATCAAATGAGGTTAATTGAGATATCCATCATCTCAAATATCTATCATTTATTTGTGTTGAGAGCACTTCAAATCTTCTCTTCTAGTTATTTTGAAACATACAGTAAGTTGCGGATAACTATAGTAACCTTACTGTGCTATTGAATGCTAGAATGTATTCTATCTATATGTTTCTACTTATAATCAACTTCTGTTCATCCCTCCCTTACTCACATTCTCCTCAGCCTTGGCAACAACTATTCTACACTTTACTTCCATATAATTAACTTCTAAGGTTTCATATGTGATGTAGAACATGTGATATTTGTATATCTGTTCCTGGCTTAATTTACTGAACATAATGTCTTTTGGGTCATCCATATTGCTGCAAACAAAAGTATTTCATTATTTTCTATGACTGAATAGTATTCCATTGTGTATATATACAACAATTTTTTTCAACCATTCATTCATTGATGGACACTTAGGTTGATTCTGTATCTTGGCTATTGTGAATAGTGCTGCAATAAACATGGGAGTGCAGAGATCTCAATATAGTGATTTCTTTCTTTTTTTTTTTTTTTTTTAGGATATATACTCACTATCCTAAATTGTTGGGTCATATGGTAGTTCTATTTTAGTTTTTTGAGAAACCTCCATATTATTTTCAATAATGCCTGTACTAATTTAT
The DNA here is from genome assembly GCF_000001405.40 of Homo sapiens. Taxonomy (NCBI): domain Eukaryota; kingdom Metazoa; phylum Chordata; class Mammalia; order Primates; family Hominidae; genus Homo; species Homo sapiens. The sequence continues at coordinate 145,948,438 of NC_000007.14, read as the reverse complement.
ATTTCTACCAAAAATTATAAAAGTTCTCCTTTCGCCATGTCCTTGCCAAATCTCCTATTGTTTTCTTTTAAAAAAATTTAATTTACACCTAATATTTATATGTATTTATGAGGAATGTAATATGTTACATGAATGGAATATGTAATGATCAAGTTAGAGTATTTAGGGTTTCCATATGTTTATTATTTCTGTTTTAGGAAAATTTCAAGTCTTCTCTTCAAGCTATTTTGAAATATTCAGTACATTATTTTAACTGTAGTCACTCTACTTTGCTATCACACATTAGCAATTACTTCTTCTATTTAACTGTATCCTTGTATCCATTAGCCAACCCCTCTTCCACATGACCCCTACTCTTCCCAGCCTCTGGCATCTATCATTCTTCTCTCTATCTCCATGAGATCAACTTTTTAAATCTCCCATATATAAATGAGAACATGTGATATTTGTCTTTCTGAGCTTGGCTTATTTCACTTAAAATAATGACCTTCAGTTCCATCCATATTGCTGGAAATGATATGATTTCATTCTTATGTCTGAAAAGTATTCCATTGTTTCTTTATTTATTTGTCTGTTTATGGACACTTACATAAACCATGTTTCTTTATTCATTTGTCTGTTTATGGACACTTACATTTATTCCATAACTTTGATGTTGTGAATAGTGCTGCAATCATTGTGAGGTGCAGGTACCTTGTTGACCACTGATTTCTTTTCCTTTGGATAAATATCCAGTAGTGAGATTGCTGGATTGTACGGTAGTTCTATTTTTAGATTTTTTAGAAATATCTATACTGTTCTCCATAGTGGCTGTGTTAATTTAGATCCCCACAACCAGTAATAGGATCTTCCCTTACTCCACATCCTTGCCAACATTATTTCTTACTTTTTAACAGTATCGGTTCTCACTGAGGTAACAATATTTCTCACTATGATTTTAATTTGCATTTCTCTGAAAATTAGTAATGTTGAACACTGTCTTTATATGGGTATTGGCCATTTTTATGTCTTCTTTTGAGAAATGATTATATATGTCCTTTGCCCACTTTTAAATGTTTTTTTTTTGTTGTTGTTGTTGTTGTTTGCTGGCTTCTTTTTTACTCTTGAGTTGTTTAAGTTCCTTGTATATTCTAGATATTAGCCCCTTCTTAGGTGAAATATTTTTCCCGTTGAACAAGTTGTCTCTTTACTCTGTTGATTCTTACCTTTGCTGTGCAGAAGTGTTTTGGTTTAATATAGTCTTATTTGTTCATTTTTGTTTCTGTTGCCTGTGCTTTTGAGGTCTTAACCATAAAATCTTTGCCTAGATCCAGTGTCCTGAAGTGTTTCCACTATGTTTTCCTTCAGTAGTTTTATAAATGCATGTCTTATGTTTAAGTAATTAATCCATTTTGAGTTGATTTTTGAATATGTTGAGAGATATGGATCCATTTTTATTTTTTCTGCATATAGATATCTAAATTTTCCAGCATCATTACCTTTCTTCCAATGTATGTTTTTGAGGCCTTAATAAAAATCATTTCAATGTAAATATGTCCATTTATTTCTGGCTTCTCTATTCTGTTCCACTGGACTATGTGTCTGTTTTTATACTATACCATGCTGTTTTGATTTATATAGCTTTGTAATATATTGTAAAACTAGGTAGTGTAATGCCTCCAGTATTTTATCACCTTCAGTATTACTTTTACCACTCAAGGCTCTATTTTGGTTTCATAAAAACTTTAGCATTAATTTTTTCTATTTTTGTGAATAAATGACATTGCTATTTTGAGAAAGATTGCCCTGAATCTATAGATTGGTTTATGTCATAAGACCATGTTAACAATATTAATTTTTTAAATCCAAGATCATGGGATGTCTTTCCCTTTCTTTGTGTCTTGTTAAATTTCTTTCATCATTGTTTTGTAGTTTTCCTTGTAGAGGTTGTAGAGGTGTTTCACCTTCTTAGTTAAATTTATTTGTAGGTGAATTTTTTGTAGCTATTATACTTGAGATTGCCTTCTTGATTTCTTTCTCAACTAGTTCAATATTGGTATGTAGAAACATTACAAATTCTGTGTGTTGATTTTGTATACTGCAAATTCACTGAAACTGTTTATCACATATAAGAAGTTTTGGTGGTTTTTAGGTTTTTATATGTATAAGATCATCCCATCTGCAAAGAGGGGTAATGTGCCTTCTCTTTTTCCAATTAGGATGCTTTTATTTCTTTCTCTTGCCTGATTGCTTTGGCTAGAACTTACAGCTCTATGTTGTGTAGGAATGGTGAAAGTGGGGATCATTGTCTTATTCCAGTTCTTACAGGAAAGACTTTCAGCTATTCTCCATTCAGTGTCATGGTAGCTGTATGTTTCTCATATTTTGTCTTTACTATGTTGAGGTTTGTTCCTTCTATGCCTAGCTTGTTGAAAAATTTTTATCATAAAGGGATGTTGAGTATTGCCAATGTTTTTTTCTGTGTCTATTGAGATGATCATATGGTTTTTGGCCCTCAATCTGTTGATATAATTTATCATATTTATTGCTTTGCATAGCTTGAATCATCCTTGCATCCCTGGCATAAATTCCACTTGATTATGGTGTTATTACATTTTTGATGTGCAGATTTTATTTTCTTCTATTTTGTTGGAAATTTTTGCATCTGTATTCATCAGGAATATTGTTTTATGGTTTCACATATTTCTTGCATACTTGTCTAGTATCAGGGTAATGTTAGACTCATTGAATGAGTAAGGGAGAATTCCCTCCTCTTCAAATTTTGGTCAGAGTTTGGAGAAAATTGGTATTAATTTTTTTGTTATGTTTGGAAGAAGTTGGCAGTAAAACCAACTGACCCTGGACTTTTATTCACTGGGGCAATTTTATTAGGGTTCAATCTCATGACCCATTATTGGTCTGTTCAAGTTTTCTACATTTTCCTGATTGAATCACAGTAAGTGGTATGTTTAGGAATTTATTTGTTTTCTCTAGGTTTTCAAGTTTGTTAGTGTATAGTTCATAATCATCTCTGATAACGTTTGTATTTCTACGGTATCAGTTGTAGATCACCATTTTCATATCTAATTTTATTTATTTAATCATCTGTCTTTTTTCCTGGTTATTCTAGCTAGTAGTTTATCAAATTTTCTTATATTTTCAAAAAAAAAAACAAATTTTGTTTTGTTGATACTTTGTATTAATTTTTTAGTCTCTATTTTGTTTTGTTTCCTCTGATCTTTATTCTTTGTCTCTTTCTCCAAATCTGGGTTTGGTTTGTTCTTACTTTTCTAGTTCCTTAAGATGCATTGTTATTTATTTGAAATCTCTCTACTTTTTTGATGAAGGCATTTATTGCTATAAACTCTACCCTCTTAGCAGTGGTTTTGCAGTACTCCAAAGATTTTTGTATATTGTGTTTCAATTTTCATGTGTCAAGACTTTTTAAATTTCTTCCTTAAATTTTTCTTGACCCAATGTTCATTCAGGAGAATGTTGTACAATTTAACTGTATTTGTACAGTTTTCAAAGTTCTTCTTATTATTGAATTTTAATTTTTAGCTGTTGTGGTCTGAGAAAATGCTTGATATGATTTTCATATTTTAAAATTAGCTGAGAATTACTTTATGTCCTAACATATGTTCTAGCTGAGAGAATGTTTCATGTGTGCATGAGAAGAATTTGTGTTCTATAGTGATTGGATGAAATGTTCTGTGCCTGTTAGGTGCATTTAATCTAAAGCACAACATAAATTCTAGTTTCTTTATAAATATTTTTTTCTATTTCATGTGTCTAATACTGAGAGTGAGGTGTTGAAGTCCCCAACTATGATTGTATTAAAGTCTGTATCTCCCGTTAGCTCTAATATTTGTTTTATATATGTGAGTTATCCGGTGTTGAATGCATATATATTTTGAATTGTTATATTCTGTTGCTGAATTGATCCCCTAATCATTGTATACTGATCTTTCTTATCTCTTTTTACTGATTTTGACTTGAAATCTGTTTTATCTAATAAAAGTATAGCTAACTTTGCTCATTTTTGGATTTCGTTTGCATAGATTATTTTTTTCATTCCTTTTATTTAAGCCTACATACATGTCTTTACAGGTGAGATGAGTTTCTTGTAGACAGCATATAGTTGGGTCATTGAAAAAAATCAGTCTATATCTTTTAGGTGAAAAGTTTAAATATTTATTTTCAAGGTTATGATTGATATATGAGATCTGATTTTTGTCATTTTATTAATTGGTTTCTGGTTGTGTTTTGTATATCTTTCATTTGTTTCACTATTTTTATCATTATGGTTTGGTGGTTTTCTGTAGTGCTAATAGTTGAGTCCATTCTCTTCTTTGTGTGATTCCTCTACCAGTAGGTTTTTCTTTCCTACATTTGCATGATGATAGGTATTGTTCTTTCACTTCCAGGTGTTAGACTCTCTTAAACATTTTTTTGTGTGGCCAGTCTAATGGTAATGAATTCCCTCAGGTTTTGATTGTCTGAGAAAAACTGTATTTCTCCTTCATCTATGAATAATAAGTTTTCTGGATGTAGTATTCTTGGCTGACAGTGTTTTCTTTCAGCACTTTGAATATATCATCTAATTCTATACCAACCTGTAAAGTTTTTGTGAGAAATCTGCTGTTGCTTTCAGTTCTGGGTGCATGCAATAGTTATGTCTTCATATGATTACTTTGGCTGTAAATAGCACCAGTGGTGCCTGATTTCCTTAGTGGCTTAGGGTGTGGTTAGTAGAGGCTGTGATAAAGTTTTGATGAGAATGAGGACATCAGATGAGCTGTCCTCAGGCTTCAGTGGTGGCGGCTGCATGCCAAATATGCCTGTTCTTGAGTCCCAGGGCTGAATACGCTGGTACTTGTGTTAGTGTGTCAAGGCAGGCCAATTCTTGGCTTTCAGGTGGCTTTTCTTGAAGGCCAGCAGTGGCAGCAGTAGATTGGGCAGGTGCATAGGACCTTGAGACCCTGAGGAGTAGGTCTGCTATAGGTGATGACAGTAGCAGTGGAGGGACAATCATCTGGGTCTCAAGTGGTCTATGCTGGTATTGGTTGTGGCTACAATAGTCTTGTTGGGCCAGTGTCTATGCCTGGTGATGGTAGATATATGTGGTTTCCAACTTTACTGACACTGGCAGGTTTGGAGGGCCCATCTGGGAGGGCCGATCTTCAGGTGGAGAGGAGTGCTCAGGCACCAAAGGTTATGTATAAGGCTGAGCAATTCCCAGGCCTTTGGACGGTGTGCTCAGGCACTGTGAGCAGGGGTGGAGACAGACTCGTTGGGCCTGTCATCGGGCCTCCAAGTGTGCCTTCTGGCTTTGGGGGGCAGGGGTGAGATGACATCCAGCCACCCAGCAAAATTCTGAGGTGGAGACAGCAGTGGCTGTGCTATAGCCTTGCTGCTGAGTAGGGCAACATTGCTTTCAGTGGTAAACAGGTGCATGAGGAGTGTGTGTTTTGGCTTTAAATGGTGGTTGCAAGCAGGGTAGCCTGTCTTTGGGGTGCTTGCAAATGCAAGGCAGTCCTGCTGCTGAGGGTGGCAGGGTAACTATAATGACATGTGCTTTGATGGTGGCAGAAACAGCTGGCAGTGTTGACTTGCTGTGGATTGGGGATGTCAGTGAGGCTCCAGGATGTTTAGATGCAGGAGTTATTGGACTCCAGGTTAAGATGCAGTCTGATGGTGGCTGGGTTCTCAATGCAGCACCATGCTGTAGCTTCTGAGAACTCGGGGTGTATGAGATCCAGTGTGAGCTCCCACTCTGAAGCAATGATGTCATATGGTATTGAGGGATCTTCCTATATTAGTCTCAGGGCCCATGTGGGTTGAGGGGCTGTCCCGTAGCAGGAATCTGGGGTGGAAATGTGGACTGCTACTGGTCACTCACTTACTATTTGCTCACACTGGGGAGACTCAGTGGGCTCCCAGTCAATCTTAGCCTAGCAGGCTCCCTTGTTTATCTCTCTTTTCTTGACATTAGAGTTACCAGTTATTTCTCTGTTGAATTCCAATGTTTGCTCCTAGGTGATCTATTTAAAGTTTGATTATAATGTCCTTGTTTTGATTCTTTCTAATGGAGGAAGTGAGTACAAAATATTTCTAGTCATCAGTTTTAAAATCCCTTAAGTTTATTGTATTTTGGATAATAGCCATTTTAACTGGGATGAAATAATAATGCATTCTGGTTTAGATTCACATTTCTTTGATGATTCATGATAATGAACATTTTTTTACATACCTGTTGACCACTGATATCTTCTGAGAAATACTCCACATCATTTGCCTATTTTAATTGTATTATTATTATTAGTAGTAGTAGTAGTAGTATTGTCATTATTATTGCTGTTCACTTTTTTGTGTTCATCATATATTCTTGTGCCAATCTTATGTTGAGATTTGCAAATATTTTTCTTCCATTCTGTAGTTCATCTCTTCACTGTGCTTTTCCTTTGCTATGTAAAAGCTTTTAGCCTGATATAATCCCATTTGTCTGCTTTTACTTTTTTGTTTATGCTTTTAGTCTTCCCATAACCAAAACATATTTGCCCAGACCAGTGTCCTGAAGAATTTCCTCAAAATTTTCTTCTAGTAGTATGACAGTTTCAGATACCACAATTACCTCTTTAATCTATTTTAATTTTTTTTTTTGTATGTGATGAGCAATAAGAGTCTAGTTTCCTTCTTTGGCATGTGAATTTTCCATCTTTCCAACACCAATTATTGAAGGGACAGTCCTTTCCCCAATGCATGGTGTTGGTGCCTTTGTAAAAAATGAATTGACTGTAAATATGTGTATATATTTCTGTATTCTCTATTTTGTTCCAATGTTCAATGTGTTGTTTTTATAGCAATATCATGCTATTTTGATTACTATAGCTTAGTAGTATATTTTGAAGTCAGGTAGTGTAATGCCACCAGCTTGGTTCTTTTCCTCATGATTGCTTAGGCTATTTGGGGTTATTTTTTGGTTTCATACGAATTTTAGGATTGCTTTTTTATTCATGTTAGAAATATAATTTTTATATTGATGGAGATTACCTTGAGACTGTAAATTGTTTTGTTTACTAAGCACATTTTAAAATATTAATTCTTCCAATCCATGAATGGAATATCTTTCCATTTTTGTGTATTCTTTCATTTCTTTGTTTAGACTTTTATTATCCTTAGCAAACTAACACAGGATCAGAAAAACAAATACCACATGTTCTCACTTTTAAGTGGGAGCTAAACGATGAGAACACATGGACACATAGAGGGGAACAGCAGGGTGGAGGGTAGGAGGAAGGAGAGGATGAGGAAAAATAACTAATGGGTACTAGGCTTTAATACCGGGGTGATGAAATAATCTGTATTCTTTAATTCCTTTCAACAGTGTTTTACAGTTTTTATTGTAAGATCTTTTACTTCTTTGGTTAAATTCATTCTTAGGTATTTTATTTATGTTTTGTCTCTATTGCAAATGGAATTGCTTTTGAAATTTCCTCTCCACACTGTTTTGTGTTGGTGTACGTAAATGATACTTCTTTTGTATGTTAATATTTGTATTCTGCAGCTTTACATTAATTTATTTATGAGACAGAGTCTCACTCTGTTGTCTAGGCTGGAGTGCAGTGGCATGATCTCTGCTCACTGCAACCTTCGCCTCTCAGGTTCAAGTGATTATCCTGCCTCAGCCTCCAGAGTAGCTGGGATTATGGGCGGGCATCACCACGCTTGGCTAAGTTTTGTATTTTTAGTAGAGACAGGGTTTCCCCACCTTAGCCAGATTGGTCTCAAACTCCTGACATCAGGTGATCTGCCCACGTTGGCCTGCCAAAGTGCTGGGATTACAGGCGTGAGCCACTGTGCCCAGCCTGAATTTATTTTTCAGTTCTAATAGTTTTTAGTTGGAGTCACTAGGTTTTTCTAAATATCAGATCATGTTTTCTACAAGCAAAGACAATTTGACTTACTCCATTCCTATTTGGATGCCCCTTATTTTTTCTCTTGCCTAATAGCTTTGACTAAGACTTCCAGTACACCATTTAATAAAAGTGGTAAAAATGAGCATCCTAGTTTTGTTTCTGAACTTCGATAAAAGGCTTTCATTTTATTTTCTCCAGTTCAGTATGATGTTAACTGTGAGTTTGTTATATGTGGCCTTTATTGTTTAGATGTATTTTCCTTCTATACCCAATTTGTTGTGAGTCTTTATCATGAAAGATGCTAAATATTATCAAAGGCTTTTTCTGAGTTTATTGAGAAAATCCGATGGGTTTTGTCCTTTATTATACTGATATTATGTATCACAATTATAGATTTGTGCATATTAAAACATTCTTGCATCCCTGGGAAGAATTATAATTTATTATGATGTACTATCGTTTTGATGCCTTGTTATATTTGATTTGCTAGCATTTTGTTGAGAATTTTTGTGTCTGTATTTATCAGGGATACAGGACTGTATGTACCTTTCTTTGTTGGTTGCATCTTTGCCTGGTCTAGGTATCAGAGTAATGTTGGTTTCATGGAATGACCTAAAAAGAAATTCCCTCCTTTTTAATGTTTTGGAATAGTTTTTGTTTGTTTGTTTGTTTTTAATGGGTGTTAAGTTTTTGTAAGTTTGGTAGAATGTAGCATTAAAGCCATCCAGACTTGAGCTTTTCTTTACTGGGACACTTTCATTACCGATCCAATTTCTTTATTTGTTATTGGTCTATTCAAGTTTTCTATTTCTTCTTCAAGTTTTCTATTTCTTCTTGGTTCAGTCTTGGTAGGTTATATATGTTTATGAATTGTTTATTTCTTCTAGGTTTTCCAATCTGTGAGGGGCACAGTTGCTTTCAGTAGTTAATAATGATCCTTTATACTTCTGTAGTACTAATTGCAATGTCTTTTTTTTTGTTTTTGATTTTATTTGGTACTTATGTCTGTTTTAATCTAGCTAATGATTTTTAAATTTATCTTTCCAAAAAAACCAACTTTTCATTTCATTGATATTTTGTATTGTTTTTGTAGGCTCTATTTCACTTAGTTCTGGTTCGCTTTTATTCTTTCTTTCCATTAATTTTTAGTTTTGTTTGTTGTTGCTTTTTCAGTTTTTTGAGGGGCATCATTAGATTATTTGAAATCCTTCCACTGTTTAATGTAGGCGTTTATCATTATAAATTTTATCTTAGTACTGCTCTTGCTGTATCCCATAGCTTTAGGTATGCAGTGTTTTTATTTTCGTTGGTTTCACAAAATGTTATGATTCCTTTTATAATTTATTCATTAACCCAGTCGTCATTCAGGAGCATTTTATTTAATTTCCATGTATTTGTTTAGTTTGCCATGGTCCTCTTGTTATTGATTTCTACTTTTATTCCATTTTGGTGTGAAAAGTTACTTGAAATAATTTTGTTTTAAACTTACTGTGACTTGTTTGTTTTAAATTTATTGTGACTCATTTTGTGTTTGTTTAGTTTGCCATGGTCCTCTTGTTATTGATTTCTACTTTTATTCCATTTTGGTGTGAAAAGTTACTTGAAATAATTTTGTTTTAAACTTACTGTGACTTGTTTGTTTTAAATTTATTGTGACTCATTTTGTGGCCTGACATATGGTCTATCCTGGAGAATATCACTTGTGCTGATGAGAAGAATATGTATTCTGCAGTGATTGGATAAAAGATTCTGTAATTGTTAGTTCCATTTGGTCTATGTTTTAGTTTAATCCCTGTGTTTCTTTGTTGATATTGTGTCTAGATGATATTTACAATGCTGGAAGTTGGGTGTTGAAATCTCCAAATATTTTTGTTTTGAGGTTCATCTATCTCTTTAATACTAATATTTGCCTTACATAAATGAATGCTCCAGTGTTGGGTGTATACATAATACATTTACAATGGATATATTCTTCTGATAAACTGGTACCTTTATGATTATATAATGAGCTTTTTTGTCTTTTTTTTTTTACTTAAAGTCAATTTCGTCAGATATAAACATAGCTACTCTTGCATGCTTTTAGCTCTTATTTTTATGGGATATACTTTTCCAACTTTGACTCAGTCTATGTGTGTTTTTACAGATAAACTGAATTTCTTCTAGCAGGATATAGCTCGGTCTTTTTTTTTTTTTTTTAATCCATTCAACCAGTCTATCTTTTAATTGAAGAATTTAAACCATTCACATTCAAGGTTGTTATCGGTTGGGGAAGACTTACTCCTGACATTGTGTTGATTGTTTTCGGATTGTTTTGCATATTCTTTGTTCTTTTCTTCCTCTATTATTGCTTATCTTTATGAATTGGTGGCTTTCCTTAGTGATAACTTTTGTTTCCTTTCCCTTTCTCATTTGTGTATCTGCTCTTCCAGTGAGTTTTGTATGTTAATATGATTTCATAATCATTGGTAAACCAATCCTCTGGCTCCTAGGTAGCACATGTAGGCACCACTAGTGTTCTACCTCAAGTGAGCCAGTCTTTCTACCTTAGGTGCACTGTGTGAGCACCAGTGGTCCAGGTAAGGCAGTCCTTGGGTTCCTGGGTGGCACAATCAGGTGCCAGTAGCAGAGTCATCAGGCCTTGGGTAATATGTTTCTTGGATCCCTGAACAAGAGGCACAAGTGCTTGTGCTGGCAATGTCACGTCAGTCCTCTGGTGCCTGACGGGGCTTGCACGAATTGGTGGTGTTTCTGGTGGGGTGAGTAAACTGATCCCAGGCTCCAGGGTTGAGTACACAGATATTGGCAGTATCATGTGGCTGTCTGGGCTTGCTGGTCTCTAGGCCCCCATGAAAGATTTCTTTTTACTCAAGGGATCAGCTTTTTTTGTTTAAAACTCTTTTAGCGTATTTCAAGGTTACTAGATATGCTTTATTTTTCTCAGACTTTCTTATAGTGTCTTTAAAAAAATGTCTGAGTGAAGATAAGGAGGAATGGGACAGCTTGAAATAAGCATGATCATTAAAGAAGTTCAGGAAAGGTAAGGAAAAGAAGAGGTGGAAAATGTAGTGATTGGATTGCTTAAAATATGCCAGTTACCATTAAAGTGTACTTTAAATGGCTTCACACATGGATTTCCCACAAGAACCATGACAATTCATTGTATTAACTTCATTGTATATATGAATAAATCATAGATGATTTACTTGAACTTGCTACTGATATATACAAATATAAAGCAACACCTTTGGGAAGGTGCTGATTTTGAGGTGTATATAAAAACTCATCAAGATTAAGTAGTAAATTTATTTTCTCAAACAAGGACTCTCTGCATATTTTAAATATTCAATTTTTCATTGCTGCTGTATTCTGTACATCTGAATCAATAATTCATATTCATATGTCTACTCTCTTGCCTGCTATTCTGATATATATTTTGCATATATTTACTTTTCTAATCTTGTGTAATAAATTATTTCCAAACCTAGCAGTCTAAAACGACCAACATTTGTTATCTTGCAGTTTCTGGAGGCCAGGATTCTGGGCATGCCTTAATTAGGTGCCTCTGGCCCAAGGTCTCTCACAAGATAGTAATCAAGACATTGGCTGGGCTGTAGTCATCCAAAGGCTCAACTGGGAAAAGGATCCACTCATGTGGCTCTTTATAGCTCTCATGTCTCTTGAGTTTTGACATTAATTCTCTGTCCTGTAGACAGCTTGTTTCCCCCTAGTGTGAGAGTTCTGAGGGAGAGAGAAAAAGAGAAAGTGAAGGAGAGAGAGAAAGAGAGAGAGAAAGACAGAGAATGCATGAAGATGAAATTTTCAACCATTTTATATCTTACAATTGATATCCTGCCATTTCTGCCATATTCTATTCATTAAAATTGAGTCAATGTAAACTCTTTGCACGCAAGGAGAGAAGATTATACAAGGGCATGCATATAAATAGACGAAGATTATAGGATGCTATTTTCAAGGCTTATCACATCCTTAATACTTTTATTAAACTAGTTGATATTAAAAACCGTGCTGGTTAGAAGGAAATTCAGAAAAAAAGTGTTCTATTTTTGGCAGTTAATCAAGTGTTTAATATGCTTCAATCAGAATTATTTGAGTTAAGCATATACAGTATTCACACCTCTAAATTTTAATATGTATTCCCAATATATTCAGAAGATTAAAAAAAATAAATTGCAAAAACTTAATGATTTCCCATGTCATCAATTTACTGTTTTTATTCCCCTTAACATTTTACAGTTTACTTTTTCTCTGTTTTCCCCAGTGTTTTTCTTCTGTCTGGACCTAAGGTGTTTTCTTGTCTTCAGGATATTCATGCTAATGCATATTTTAATGTATGAAAAATTCTTATCTTTTGCAGGACCTCATGGAATTTGTAAACTTGATGATTGTCATTATCTTTTAGGAACATGTATTTAGGAAGAGAAATGAAGGAGTTATAAAATGGCAATGATATCATCATTTTAATATTAATAAGAACACAATATCAAAAGGGGTATAGAGCCTTCCTTGAAAACTCCATTGTACTAAGTGGAATATGTCTTAATTTTCTGTTCCTCACAATGTGAAATATATTTCTTTCAAAGTGAATTATAATGAGTTCACTATCATGCTTCCATTTTTTCTTAATTTATTTTAATTAACAATAAACTGAAATATTACATACAGCCTATTTTAATACTACTGTGAGGCAAATATATATCATGTTTTTTACATGGTGCTTAAGAAGGAAGCATCACTCTAATGCAGAATATTTAACTGGGATTAGGAAACATGACCCTTTTCCAAGGAGCCTGGCAATTCTTTCTTTTTGAAAACAGAGATGAATATATAATTAATACTATAAGTTAAAGCAATTTTAATTTGTCCTATGGTTAGGAAAAATAGAGCTCTGCATTACAGCTAATTTATAAAAAGTAATGTTGTCTAACATGTTATATGAGTGTCATGAATCAAAGGTATTTTAATTGTTGTTTTTGCATATCCTATAATGTAGTTCATCAAAGGAAAATAAGAAGTTTTGCTTTGCAATCATGAAAGAATAATTACATCTAGTGCCAGAACGGATCTTAAGCATTATATAATCTAACCAACTGTATTAGTTAAGGGCCAAGCCGGTGACACAAAACACACAGTAATTGAATGAGGGGAAGTTCAAAAACAAGTAATTAACTATGATAGAAACAGGAGTAATGAGATGTAGGATAGTAAGAAATAAATGGAACTCTATAAAGTTCAGAAATCATAGATTTTAACACTACCTAAGACTGAAGAAGAGTGCTCAAAAAAGAGGTCGCCATTCACAGGGCTGATGTATTAGTCCATTGTCATGTTTCTATAAGGAGATATCCAAGACTGGGTAATTTATAAAGGAAAGATGTTTAATGGACTCACAGTTCCACACATGTGTGGAGGCCTCACAATCATGGCAGGAGGTGAAGGAGGAGCAAAGGCTTGTCTTACATGGCATCAGGCAAGAGACTGTAGGTGAACTGCCCTTTATAAAACCATCAGATCTCATGAGAATTATTCACTGTTATGAGAACAGCATGGGAAAAACCCACCCCCATGATTCAATTCCCTTTCACTGAGTCCCTTTTATGACATGTGGGGATTATGGGAGCTACAATTCAAGATGAGATTTAGGTGGAGACACAGTCAACTTGTATCATTCCACCCTGGCCCCTCCCAAATCTCATGTCCTCACATTTCAAAACCAATCAGGCCTATCCAACAGTCCCTCAAAGTCTTAACTCAATCCAGCATTAACTCAAAAAACCAAGTCCAAAGTCTCATCTGAGACAGGGCAAGTCCCTTCTACCTAGGAGCCTGTAAAATCAAAACAACTTATCTATTTCCTAGATGCAATGGGAGCACAGGCATTGGGAAAATACACCTGTTCCAAATGGGAGAAATTGGCCAAAACAAAGGGGCTACAGGCCTTTTGTGCAAGTCTGAAATCCAGGAGGGCAGTCATTAAACCTTAAAGTTCCAAAATGATCTCTTTTGACTCCACGTCTCACATCCAGGTCTTGCTGATGCAAGAAGTGGGCTCCCATGGCCTTGGACAAGTCTACCCATGTGGTTTTGCAGGGTACAGCCCCCCTGCTGGCTGCTTTCACAGCTGACATTGAGTGTCTGTGGCTTTCTCAGGCACAGATTGCAAGCTTTTGGTGGATCTGCCATTCTGGGGTCTGGAGGACGGTGGCCCTCTTCTCACAGGTCCACTAGTCAGTGCCCCAGTGCGGGCTCTGTGCGGGAATATCAACCCCTCATTTTCCTTCCACACTGCCCTAGAAGAGGTTCTCCATGAGGGTACCACCTCTGCAGCAAACTTATGCCTGGACATCCAGGTGTTTCCATAAAACCTCTGAAATCTAGCCAGAGGTTCCCAAATCTCAATTCTTGACTTCTCTGTACCCACAGGCTCAATACCATGTGGATGCTGCCAAGGCTTGGGGCTTGCCTCCTCTGAAACCAAGCCCAGAGCTGTAGGTTGGCCCCTTTTAGCCAAAGCTGGAGCAGCTGGGATGAAGGACACCAAGTCCCTAGACTGCACACAGAAGAGGGACCCTGGGCCCAGCTCATGAAACTACTTTTGTCTCGAGGCCTCCAGGCCTGTGATGAGAGGGGCTGCTGTGAAGATCTCTGACTTACACTGGAGACATTTTCCCCACTGTCTTGGGGACTAACATTTGGCTACTTATTACTTACGCAAATTTCTGCAGCCAACAGCTTGAATTTCTCCTCAGAAAATGGGGTTTTCTTTCCTATCACATTGTCTGCCTGCAAATTTTCTGAACTTCTATACTCTGCTTCCATTTTAAAACTGAATGCACTTAACAGGAACCAAATAATCTTTTGAATGCTTTGCTGCTTAGAAATTTCTTCTGCCACCTACCCTAAATCATCTTCCTCAGGTTCAAAGTTCCACATATCTCTAGGGCAGGGAAAAAATGCAGCCAGTCTCCTTGCTAAAGCATAGCAAGAGTCATCTTAGTTCCAGTTCCCAACAAGTTTCTCATCTCCATCTGAGACCACTTCAGCCTGGATTTCATTGTCCATATCACTATCAGCATTTTGGCCAAAGCCATTCAGCAAGTCTCTAGGAAGTTCCAAACTTTCCCACATTTTCCTATCTTCTTCTGAGCCCTCCAAACTGTTCCAACTTCTGCCTGTTACCTAGTTCCAAAGTCACTTCTATATTTTCAGGTATCTTAACAGCAGTGCCCCACTTGTACCAATTTACTGTATTAGTTCATTTTCACATTGCTGATAAAGACATACTTGAGACTGGGTAATTTATAAAATAAAAAGAGGTTTAATGGACTCACAGTTCCACATGGCTGGGGAGGCCTCACAATCATGGCAAAAGATGTATGAAGAGCAAAGGGACTTCTTACATGATGGTGGGCAAGAGAGGACTTGTGATTTTTATAAATCCATCAAGATTTCTTGAGACTTATTCACTACCACAAGAACAGCACAGGAAAGACCCACCTCCATGATCCAATTACCTCCCACTAGGTCCTTCCCACAACATGTGGGAATTGTGGGAGCTACAACTCAAGATGAGATTTGGGTGGAGACACAGCCAAACCATATTAGTTCCCAAATCTCAGTTCTTGTCTTCTATGCACCTGCAGCCCCAACACCACATGGAAGCTGCCAAGATTTGGGGCTTGCACCCTCTGAAGCAATGGCCTGAGCTGTATCTTTGTCCCTTTCAGTCATGCTGGAGTGGCTGGGATGCAGGTCACCAAGTTCCCAGGCTGCATTAGGAGGGTTGCCCTGGACCTAGTCCAGGATACTATTTTTCCCTCCTAGGCTTCTGGGCCTGTGATAGGGGCTGCCACACAGGTTTCTGACATATCCTAGGCATATTTTCCCCATTGTCTTGATGATTAGCATTTGGCTCCTTGTTTCTTATGTAAATTTCTGTAGCCAGCTTGAATTTCTCCCCAGAAAATGTGTTTTTTTCCTTACTACTGCATCATCAGGCTGCAATTTTTCCAAACTTTTACGCTCTGTCACATCTTGAATGCTTTTCTGCTTAGAAATTTCTTCCACAAGATACAGTAAGTCATCTCTCTCAAGTTCAACGTTCCACAAATCTCTAGGGTAGGAGCAAAATACCACCAGCCTCTTTGCATATCAAGAGTGACCTTTACTT
Source organism: Homo sapiens (assembly GCF_000001405.40). Taxonomy (NCBI): domain Eukaryota; kingdom Metazoa; phylum Chordata; class Mammalia; order Primates; family Hominidae; genus Homo; species Homo sapiens. The sequence continues at coordinate 145,932,352 of NC_000007.14, read as the reverse complement.
CTGTTCCCAAAAAGTTTCTCATCTCCATCTGAGACCACCTCAGCCTGGACTTTATTGTTCGTATCACTATCAGCATTTTGGTCAAAGCCGTTCAACAAGTCTTTAGGAAGTTCCAAATTTTCCCACATTTCCCTGTCTTCTTCTGAGCCTTCCAAACTGTTCCAACCTCTGCCTGTCACAAAGTTCCAAATTCACTTTCACATTTTTGGGTGTCTTTACAGCAGCACCCCACTTTACCAGTACCAATTTATTGCATTAGTTTGTTCTCACGCTGCTATAAAGACATACCTGAGACTGGGTAATTTATAAAGGAAAGAGGTTTAATGGACTCATGGTTCCACATGGCTGGGGAGGCCTCACAATCATGGCGGAAGGTGAAGGAGAAGCAAAGGCACGTGTCACATGGTGGCAGGCAAGAGATCGTGTGCAGGGGATCTGCCCTTTATAAAACCATCAGATCTCATGAGGCTTATTCACTACCATGAGAATAACATGGGAAAAACCTGACCCCGTGATTTAGCTGCCTCCCATCAGGTGTCTCTCATGACAAGTGAGGATTATGGGAGATAAAATTCAAGATGAGATTTGAGTGGGGACACAGACAAACCATATCAGCTGAGATCAATGCTTTTTCTGGAGAGGGATTATCTGTGCTTCAATGGATGACAGAGAAATAAGTGAGGAGCTAAGCCCTGAAGAAACCACATGATATAGGAATCTGGTGAGAGCAGCATACTTGAAGCAGCAACTGAAAAACTCCTTCCACCTTCAGTGTCCTTTTAGTGGTATCTATTGAAAGCACTTAATATTGTACCAGCTGACAAAGGAACAGTCTCTAAAAGGCCCAGTTCCACTTTTCCAGAGCAAGCAGTGAAATACAGATTTTTAAATATTATAATTATTTTATTAATTTCATACATTAACATATATTACATATAATTAACTAATGTATTAACATTATACTATAATTAATATATTAATATCTAGGATAGTCCGTCTCTTTGGCTAGTCACCATCCATATGAACCCTTCTACACATATTTGAATATATACAATAATAAAATACTTAATAAAGTGTTTATATTTATCTAATAGGATACAGCTATTTTTACAAGTGAAAAAGTCATCACACTTACTCCCAAGTTAGAAGTCATAGCCCAACAGTCACTGTATTCATTGCTGGCAATACTAAGTACTACTCAAAGTACATCATAGCCCCACTGAATACTTTATAATGCTTCTTTAAAATCTTTGATGATGGCAATAATCTTCACAGCACCCTCTAGGATGTGTTATTGGTTCTGTTACATTATCTTTCTAGGGAATGAAAGTTCCAGAGATTATAACATAGCCTTTTCTACTATAATTGCCCTCACGTCAAGGGTCAGAAAGGAAATGTGGGAATTCTGTAGTACCCAAGTATGTTTATTCTATTTGTACATTCAGGAAGTAGGATAATAATTAGGGTGGATTTATGAACTAACTAGGACCCCTGAGTCAGACTTGAGCTAAGACTACAACTAGGACTTGATCACCACAGAACTCCACTGTGGCAACAGTGACATTTTGGGTCCTCAGAAATTACTGTCATTTCAAAGCCAGGTCTATTTATCTCAAAAAGTATGGGTATTTCATGTTTCCCTAAGTATAGTCTGTCTAGCCATGGTCGCAGGCATTTGGGGAATGTTTAGAGAACATTTGTGACACGTATTTGCAGCAACAGTGCAAGGTCCTTCTTCAAGAAACACTTTCCTCTTTATTAATCAAGAAGCTCTGGGTCTCTGTATTGACTTAAGTCTGGAAACCAGACTGAGAATGTGACTATTCAGGGTACCAAATCAAGTCAGGATTTTTTTGGCTTCCATAACTGAAGTTTTCAATGTTATATAGATCAAGTGATATGCTAGTGGTCTTCCCATCTATTACATTCCTAAGATTTCTGAGGGTCAAGGCATTCTGTATATTAGTACATCCCTGCATCCCTTTATGTTGCCACTTTGTCTTTGGCAGTTGAGTTCTGTCACTTGTCCTGTGCTGCTCTGGGATCTCATCACTCACATTAAGTCACTGAGCTTATTTTAATGCTGGCATGCCCTACAATTATAACTGGCCTAAAAGGAAGAAGAACCTAAGGATGTAGATGTTCCCCTCATTAATACGTTTCTCAACAGCTTATTGAAGGATGTAGCTTTTGAATTTTTTTATTGACTGCATCTGGGAGAAACATGTCATATGTCATTACTTAGCATGTCACACATGATAAATTCAACTTTTGGATTCATTTCTCTACATCGTGCCAGGGAAAATCTGACACTTCATCCTCATTAAATATCAGCAAACTTTGTGCCCAAGTTTAAGTCAATCAAACAAGTAAGCAGTAAGAGCTATTTCAACCTGAACAAACTAGCATATTAAATTCAGAATCTTTATTAAGTGCATCATGTTAATGAATTCAATGTTATAGTCCACACTCCTTGGTCTAACACCCTTAGAATCCTCTCTCACATATGTTCTTCAAATTTCTACTGATACGTTATCAATGTTTTTGGATCATTCTTTTGATGTATAAGGTATTTTCTTAGATGTCATGTGTTCTTGCCCCTTAGTTAGGGGTCAAGTGACCACAAGGAGTAGTTATGCATATTAAGAAGAATGATCATCTTTTTTGAAGGCATCAAAGTCAGATGAATTTAGCAAAGTTTTCTTTTTTTTTTTTTTTTTTAATGTGGAAGATGGCCAGTCTCCTCATATACTTAGTAGTGTAAGGAAAGCTACTTCCACTACTAAGGCAGGCTCAGAGTGACTTGGAGGTTCAAGACTGTCATCTAAATTCAACCAGATATCCTTATTCCAAATTTCAGGATCCTATCTTTTCCTAGTTGATACTCTTTCATGTGAGATACTTGATGAGATTGAGTTCAATTACACAATTAAATGTGCTTTATTTAAAACAATATCAACCCTGTAGCTATAAAGGAATAAGATATTCATCTGAATTAAAGTTGAAATATCTAAACTCATTTTCTTTTTGTTTTTGTTCAAGTGCACTAAAAAATATTCTCTCATACCAAAGTCCTTCTGGTCATTGCTACTACTACACTGGTCTAGTGCAGCAGGCTCTTGAGCCTCCAAGGGACTTGTTTCAACTGAGACTTCATCAACCACAGGAGATAGCTTGCTTAATCATGATGCCATTGCATGCCACGGATTACCAAGAGGTATCCCTTTCCTTATTGCCCCTTATTGCTCAGCACTGCACTCAAGCCTGAAACCACAAAGACTCTCATCTTTCAGAATCTATCTCCTTTCACTGCAGATCCAACCAGGAAACAGAAACCACAAAGCTATTTGACTAGGAAAAGTTGAATATATGAAAGAGAAGAGAAAACTATGGCCCATGGGCCAAATCTGGCCCATAACCTGTTTTTGTATGGCCTGTGAGCTAGGAATGACTTTTAAGTTTTAAGATTTTAAAATTTGTTAAAATACCAAAACCAAAAATAGCATACTGAAGCATCTACATTGTCTGGGGTATATACCCTGAGGTTTGTTGCCATAGGCCAGGAAAATTTAGGACACAGACACACACAAGGAGTTTAGGAGCGGAGGTTTAATAGGCAGAAGAGAAAGAGAAACAGTTCTCTCTATAGAAACAGGGATGTCTGAGCAGAAAGGACCAGCGTGTGGCAGAAGGGCTGAATTTTATAGTCAGGTTTGAGGAGGCAGTGTCTGATTTACATAGGGCTCACAGATTGGTTTGATCAGGTATGATGGTTATATAGTGCATGGGGAAGGTGGGTCACCCCACCCTAATCTTACTATGAAAATGGGCTTTCCAGTTGATTAGGGCCATCTTGTCTGCTTCTTACTGTACACATGGCTGGCAGAGAAGGGAAGATGGAGCCACTATCTTGAGCATGTCTAGTCCTTAGTTCCTGCTAGCATTCACCCGTGCAAGCTCCCAGCTTGCTTGTTTATGTCTGCTGCTCGACTTTACAGGATGTTCTTTGTTAGAAAACAATTTAGGGCTGCATTTTATTAAAAATAAAAGCCTTACCGAGGACTTCCATACCCTCACTATTTGCCTAAGTGATTTCTTCTTAACTCTTGTATCAATGTATGACAGGGACCATATTTGTTCTGAAAGCATGGAATGTTTATTATTTTACACTTTATAGACAAAGTTTCTATGATATGAAGAATTAATTACAGCAGGATATTGAAGTAACAGGAGACTGGCTAGTAAGAACTAAAAGGAACCCTAAGGAGCTCAGAAAACAGAAAGAGCCATTATCACTTGCATTCGGAGAGAGCATCTGGGATAGGTAGAATTCTCAGGCAAGCCCCAAGATCTCTGCCCCCAGATGTTTTACCATGCAAATCCCGTTCCTTTGAGCGTGGGTAGAACCTGTGACTACCAACCAGTAGAATACTGAAAAACGATGGGACATCACAGCTCTAATTGTTTTTTCATTATGTGAAACTCTGTCTTAGGAAACTGGAAAAAGAAGCTCTCCCTGGCTAGCTTTGAAGAAGTACATGACATATACTTCTTCACATGGCAAGAAGTTCCTGGCAGGTTCTAAGGGCTGAGCAGCCTCTGACTAGAAAGAAAACAGGGAGCTCAGTCCTACAGCTTCAAGGAATTAAACTCCTCCAATAACCACATGATCTGTGAAGAGAATCTTGAGCTACAGAAGAAAATGAAACTTGGCCAAGACATTAATTATAGTCATGTGAGACCCTGAACAGAGAACCCAGTTTAGCCGTGCCAAGACTTCTGACCCATAGAAGTTGTGAGGTAAAGTTTTTTTTGTTTGTTTGTTTGTTTTTTTTTTGAGACGGAGTCTCGCTCTGTCGCCCAGGCTGGAGTGCAGTGGCGCGATCTCGGCTCACTGCAAGCTCCGCCTCCCGGGTTCACGCCATTCTCCTGCCTCAGCCTCCCGAGTAGCTGGGACTACAGGCGCCCGCTACCACGCCCGGCTAATTTTTTGTATTTTTAGTAGAGACGGGGTTTCACCGTGTTAGCCAGGATGGTCTTGATCTCCTGACCTCGTGATCCGCCCGCCTCGGCCTCCCAAAGTGCTGGGATTACAGGCGTGAGCCACTGCGCCCGGCCACGTATGTTGTTTTAAACGTGTAAATTTGTGGTGTCTTTGAACCCCATTAAAAAAAAATAATACATTATGCTAGAAAGACACAGTTTTCACTCATGGAAGAAACCAAGGCCTCAATGGGAAGAGTGTGGTCATGATGTAGCAGATGATGAAGAAATCACTGATACAGTATACTCATGGAAATTGATGAAAATCTTCCCTTTGAGGTGCTACAGCAATCTGCCCGCAGAGAAGTCTCATGCCCAGAACTTGCTGCAGATTATCCTGAAGAAATGCAGTGAGGCCATTTAAAGGGAGGTACCTCACTGGTGGCACTACGTATTGACATCGCCAGAGTGTGTACTGGGAGAAGCTGATGGGCCCTGGGTCCCCTTGACTGTTGCATGTCACAGGAACTGGACACTGGAAAAGCTATTCATTGCAGGAAGCAGACATGGGAGAAACTACACACTGCAGGAGCCTGGGGAGAAAAATGTACAAGAACCAGGAAGAGACAACCTACATTTCCTCTTCAATGTCCATCCAGCATCTTCTACCTAACATCACACCATTTTTCTTTTCATCATGCAAAGAAAAAGTATTTGAAAGATCCATCTTCATTTTTGCAGAGCAAGCAATGAAGGGTAAACGTGGAGCTGAAGGAAAGTGCATTGATAAGTGGTGCACCGACTTATTTCACAGAAAAGAAAATTAATGGCATAGTGTTTAATGTATTTGTGAAGATTAATCATAGGACCAAGACAAAAAAAAAGCATCACCTAAACCCTATGCCAGTGCTATTTCCAATAAACCATACCACCATACAGAAAACAATTAATTAAAATTAATTTTTACTGCTACCGGTTAATTTGCTTGTTTTTTCTTATAAAAAATTAGCAAAATTAATATCAGTGAATAAGGATTTTAAGATACTACAATAGATACGTCTGCTATAAAAATAAACTTGGATATGTCATGATTTAGTATTTCTAATCAATAATTTTAAAATGAGATATATTTACAGAAACATGCCCAGATCTTAATTGTATAGTTCGAGAAATTTTGAAAAAACAAAAAAAAACACCAAACAAAAAACAACTTTTGCAACTACCCACTTACTCCTTAGAATAGTTCCATTATAGGAGAATGGAACTATTATCTATTTTCTATTTATCCCTGAAGACGGTCACCTCTGATTTGTGTATTTGCCTATTCTTGTCCTTTAAGTTAGTGGATATGTTTTTATTATGCTTGGCTCCTATTGCTCAATAAAATGCTTTTAAGAATGATGCTTGTAAGAATCACCTGTTTATTATTGTTAATTATTATTCAGTAGTATAAATATACCATCAGTTTCTTAACCAGTTTCCTCTTGATAAGTGGTTGAATTGTTTTCAGTTATTGTTACAAATAAGGCTGCTATGATAATTCTTTTATAGTTCTTTTTTGTGCACATACATTTCTGTTTTAATTGGGCAAATACCTATGAGTTGCTGACTCATTAGATAGGGGTATGTTTAACTTATAAATTGCCATAACATTCAATTCTAGTTTGTATGAAGTTGTTTCTAATTGAGGTTGTGGAGCGACTTTTCCTGTGCTTATAAGTCATTCATGTATTTTCTTTTGTAAGCTGATTGAGTCTTTTCTCTTAATTGATTTAATTTCACTGTTTTCTATTTCTAATGTTCTAAAATATATCAGATACGGGTTCTTTATCAGATACCTGTATATTGATTATTTTTACCCTACTTCTTTTCCTTTATTTTCTTAATGTTATTGATTAAACCAAAGTTTTTAGCTTTGATAAAATATAATTTTTTCTTTTATTGTTATGCAGTTTGTGTCTTAAGATAATGTTTGCCTATTACAAGGTCATAAACATATTACCTTATATTCATTCATTTCTAGATGGATATAGTATAAATATGCATAAATATTTGCATATAAGAATTTACATAGTAGAAATATGGCACAATTTATTAATTAGTCTGTCAGTTTTCAGATTTAAAGAAAATTTTGAGGCAGCATCAATATAAATAACACTGCTAGTAATATATTTTTTCTGACAGTAATTGTATTGTGTAGGGTAGATTTCTATACATAATATTATTGGAAAATTAGTAATTATGCTAATATAAACAAATGTTCTAATAGTGAATTGTCTTATTTTTTATTTCTTCCTTGATATTGCTTGTTTAGTAAAAAAAATAATTTTTGGCTATTTATTTTGTATTTAGTCAGCTTGCCAAAATTTTACATTAATTCTAGTAACTCTACATTTTATTTAAATTTTTGTCATGTTATACATCACATTTTTCTAATATTTATATAACTTACATTATTTTATTGTCTTCTTGTTGTAAGTCATCCCCCAAAATCATATTTAAATGGAAATAATGCTAATGGGGATTTCTGAATTGATCATAATTTTAATGAAAATAGCTTTGATATTTCACCACTTAAGATGGTACTTGCTTTTCCTTCCTGGTAAGTATTTTTTTTTGCAGATATCATTGTTTATTTTACAGCTTTTTCAAATGTTGCCCCCACACACACACACTTTCCATATCCTACTAAAGAGGTTAAATGATTAGCTATTCATTTTCCTAGGCTCCTTTGTATCTAAGAGTGGCTTTGTGTAAATGTCCTTAGAGTTGTAGTCAGTATTTTTCAAACGCAAGGCTGTGAGTTGAACATGAAATAAATGTAAGAAGGCAATAGAATATTTTCTGAGAAGCACAGAATGGAATAGAAAACTGCATAATGCAGTACAGGTACTGTTTGCAACTATAATTTTTGTAACATTTGTTTTGGTTTATATATGGATGTATTACTTCATATAATGTTCCCTAGGAAAAATGTATTTCTCTGTATGATTTCTGTTCAAAAATTGTAAATGTCACAGGTTTAATTTACAAGCACTTGAATTTGGTATCACTTGCATTTAAATGCATCTGAACTGATTCCAAAATTGATACATGTAAATAGTGTACCTTAGATAACATCTCTTAAGATCTGGAAGGAGTTGTTTATGGAAGATAAGGTGGCCATTACTGTATTCCAGCTGGGAAATGTGTGGCTGTTGATATGTTATGAAGAAATATTCTATCAAACTCCTTCTTACTGTATCTTGGGCTGCATGAAACAGATAAGCCAGATACACTCAAACAAGGTAACTGAGGATCACTTTATGAATGAACTAATCTACAAACATGTTAAGCAAAACTAACTATGCAATGTGAAGCACCCCCAGAATAGCAATGATAGTTGATGAGGGTGGGGCATCACCAACACCACATCTGAAGAAGTAAAGGGCAAAAGCAAGACGTGCAGCTGTAGGAGAGAATGAGTCTACAGAAGTTGTAGCCTCTGGTAGAGAAACACTATCCTGACATTAGATTTCTTGCTGGTTCCTCCATTTAGCTAGATACAAAAAGAAACCAGAGGGCAAATGAGCTTAAGTTTTGTATCCATAAAAATTGGACTTTATCTAAAGGCAATAAACATTATTAGAGTTAAAGAGGATATCTATATGCTGATAAAAGTTCAACGAATACAAATATGCAAAAACTAAAAACTTACATACAACTGATATCAGTCTCAAAAATGTGTGAATAATTCACATAACTGCAGGGGAAAAGGAAAAACATTCCCTGTTTGAGTGGGAGATTTTTATTACGCTTCTGCTGGTAACTGATATTTTAGCAGAAAAAAAATTACTAACGATAAAAGGACTTTAATAATGTAATTAATTTATTTGATCTATGGATAAATGTATATTATATTCAACAATAGCAGAATACATTTCAAGCATAAAGAACACTTACGAAAATTGACCATATATTGGGGTATAAAGCAAAGCTCAAAATATTTCAAAGATTTGTTATCATGCAGAAAATATTGTCTCTTTATATAATAAATTAAATTAGTAATCAATTAAAAAATAAAGATCGAGGCAGGTGGATCACCAGGTCAGGAGATAGAGACCATCCCGGCTTACACGGTGAAACTCCATCTCTGCTAAAAGTACAAAACATTAGCTGGATGTGGTGGCGGGCGCCTGTAGTCCCAGCTACTCAGGAGGCTGAGTCAGGAGAATGGCGTGAACTCGAGAGGCAGAGCTTGCAGTGAGCTGAGATCGCGTCACTGCCCTCCAGCCTGGGCGACAGAGCAAGACTCCATCTTAAAATATAAAATTAAAATAACATAACATAACATAAAATGAAATAAAATAAGGGCCAAAATTCCCAGGGATGAGATTGCAATATTAAGTCGGGTTGTGGTACAAGATTCCTTAAGAAAATAATAATTTAGAAAAGACTTGAATACAATAAGGTAGTTAATCATAAGGAAGTTAATCAATGATATATCTTGCTGAACTCTATCCTAGGAAGATTGGAAAGATGCTGCTCTAGCATTAATATGGTTTGTGTGATGAACAACATAGAGATCCAAACAGTGATTGAAATGCATATTTTATTTCAATTTGCACAAACATTCAAATAATAAATAGAACTTTCTTAAAGGTTTTTAAGTGGTATTTTCAAGCGATAGTTTCCAAAGATGGTAATAACAAGCAACAAAATGCCACAGTGCAATAATAGAAAAGGAAAATTTTGGAAAGGGTTAATTGTGCTCTTTCAATATTGTCCAGTCCTCTCTTTCTGTGTATCTCACTGGGACAAAGTCCGTGACAGTACTATGTGGTTTCATTGTCGTACTATTGGTATAAAAATGCTGGCAAAGTTAAAAGTTAGTTGAAAGAGCCTGGCTTAATGACCCACAAACGTAAATGCAATTGATGATAAACTAATAATGATTCACATAAGACAGTGAGAAAAGGAATGTAACACCAAGGTTTTAAATGGGGAAGACAAACAGTGGTTGACAGCAAGGGAAAGATATATCTTTACACGTGGATGCCTATAGACCTTATATATACCACATGGATGTATTTTCTGCATAATCTTTTTTAAATGAAGACAGATGCAAGAAAAAATATTACTTTTTATGAATCTGTGCATATGAGGTTGTGATTTGTTTTACATATATATGAATACGATATACAAATCTAGCCTGATATCTTTTTTTGTGCAGCTGCAACGTGGTTTTAATATACATTTTACATTGTAATGAAATTGCTTTCTACATTTCACAAAAGTTGTAGTACAGTTGCCCTTTACATTTTTAAAAACATACCACCACCACAGAGGACACAAGTGACTTCTGATTTCTTATCCTAGTGTTACTAGCTTAGAATACAAGTAATCTGCCTCCAATGTTAACATAGTGCCAATATTATCAAGAGCTTCCCCATGGGAAAGCATGGATCAACATCTTTCCAGCTCTTGATATCAGTTTTCTCATTATTCATTATCTAAGCCAATGTGTTTGTTTTGGTAGTCTAACACTGTGAGATATTAATTTCTGTTACTAAAGGTAGGCTAATTGCTGTTACAAAAACAAATTTCTAAATCTCAGTGGCTTAATACAATAAAATAATATTTCTCCCTTACACTGTTTTCTTATAGAGTATGCCTGGTTGGGTGTACAGCAGTTCAGGTTTGCATGGGATTATTCTGGTTTTAGTACTGAAAGTCCTGTATACCAGGAAACCCCTTAGTACCTGGCATGTCAGGATGGTAGGGAATGCCATGAATGGGGAAACTTCAGTAAAGATATTTCAGGGGTTTTGACTCATTCTATCTAGTGGCACTGCTGCAGAATAAACCACTGGATCACCCACATTTTAATAGAAAATTAATGAAGAGAGGAAAAAAGACCTTTTGAAAGTAGAAGTCAGGGCCGGGCATGGTGGCTCACACTTATAAATCCAGAACTTTGGGAGGCCGATGTGGGTTGATCCCTTGAGGTCAGGAGTTCAAGATCAGCCTGTCCAACACGATGAAACCCTGTCTCTGCTAAAAATACCAAAAAAAAAAAAAAAATAGCTGGATGTGGTGGTGTGCACCTGTAATTCCAGTTACTTGGAAGGCTGAGGCAGGAAAATTGCTTGAACCCAGGAGGTGGAGGTTGCAGTGAGCCAAGATCACGCCACTGCACTCCAGATGGGGCAACAGAGCAAAACTGTCTCAAAAACGTATACAAAACAAGAGAGAAAGAAAGTAGAAATCATAACTAGAAGCCATAAATGTTGTGTATATATATATATATATACACACACACACACAAGTGTGTATATATCTCTTTGGCCAGATATAGTTACATAGCTGCACATATATTCCAGAAGTGCTGGGAAATATAGACTTCCTATATTTTCAGAAAAATAAATTAAAAGTTTTGAGCACCTGGCATTGTCTCTGCCACACACATAAAACGTAGATTCAAAATGTCAAGTCGTTTGTACATAATTGAGCCAAATGTCAACTTAGAAGTGACCTCAGCAACAGTGGGAGTTTTCAGCCCTCACATGCCCACAAAATACAGATTTAACAACCATCCAAAGATGAAAATACCTTCAATAGAATTCTGAATCCAAGTGAGAAGTTAAAGCATCTGGGTAGAACACAGAAATGAATAAAAATGAGTGAAAAGGGCAGGAAAACATGGTTTTATTTTACTTGTGTTACCCCTTCCTCAAGCCAGCACAGTGCAGCACCCCCAAAAATCTCTGAGCCTATGTTATCTCTGTGAGGGAAAAGAAGAGTGAAGGGAGTATCTGACTTTATTATGGACACAGGCACCAGGATTTCCCCAACTGGACCTGGGTAGCAAGGCTACTTGTGGTCTGCAGCATTGAGCCAGCTCACCCGTAGTCCCTGGCACCATGGCACCGAACCTACTGTCCGCAGAAACTACAACTGAACTTCTCAAACATGGACTTTGGTGTTAGCCCTGCCCACCTGTGGACCCAGACACCAGGTCCATAGACCCTGCCAGCAGTCCTGGTCATGAAACCCATGAGCTGTCTTACCTAAAATGTTTGGCTAGGATGACTGGTAAAGGGGTATCCCTTCCAAGCCAGTCTGTATAGACTGGAAGAAGTTCTTACTTCATCAAATGCACAAATACTAACACAAGGCCACAAGGATTATGAAAAATTAGGGGAAAAACGACACCACAAAAGGACCCAAATGAGGCACAGGTAACCATTTCTAAAAAATTGAGATCTATGAGCTGCCTGAAAAAGGTTTCAAAATAATTGCCTTAAAGGAGTTCAGTGAGCTATAAGACAACACAGATATACAAATAGAATAAATCAGGAAAACAATACATGAACAAAATGAGAAGTTAAACAAAATAAAGGAAATGATATAAAATAACTGAGCAGAAATTCTGGAGCTAAATAATACAATGATTGAACTGAACAATTCAATAGAGTGCTTCAAAAGCAGATTCAAACAGAAGAAAGAATCTGCAAGCTTGATGATATGTCATTTGAAATTACCCAGTCAGAGGCATGGAACTTATGAGACATCATCAAATGAATTCATTATTAAATTCCCAGGAGAAGAGAAAGATAAAAAAGCAGAAAGCTTATTTAGTAAAATAACGGCTGAAAACTTCTCAAATCTGTAGAGGAATACAAACATACATATAAAGCCCGAAGAATCCTAAAAAGATCAAACATAAAGAGATCTATACTGAGACACATTATAATTAAATTGTCAAAAGTTAAAGTTGGAGAGAATTTTGAAGGAAGAAAGAGCAAAGAGACTTGTCACATACAAGGCAACATCATACGAATATACACAGATTTTACAACAGATATATGCAGGCCAAGAAAGAGTGAGATGATATAAGAGTGAGATGATATATTCAATTGTTAAAAAAAAGAAAAAAAAAACCCTGCCAAACAAGAATACTACACTTGGAAAAAAAAAAGTCCTTTAAAATTGAAAGAGAGATAAAGACTTTTCCAGAATAAAAGAAATAAAAAAGAACCAGGTAATTTGTCATCAGTAGAACTTCCTTATGAGAAGTGCTAAAGGGATTTATTCGAGTTAAAATGAAAGGTTGCTAAACAACAACATGAAAGCATAGAAAAGTATAAATCTCACTGGTAAAGGAAAATATATAAACAAATACAGCATAATATAATATTGTAAATTGTGGTACATGAATCATTTTTAATTCTAGTATAACAGAAAACAAGAGAATAAGAATAAGCTAATAATAACTGTAATAACAAAAATGTTTGACTTAAGTTTTCTTTATAGGCAACCATATATCTTCAAAAGTTACAGATTGTTTCTTTCTTTCCAATGTTGTTCTTGTTTTGTTCTCTTCTTTTACTTTCATTGCTATTGTGCTTAAGATCCACAGCACAATAATGATTAGAAAACTAATACATGATGTATTTTTTATTCTCTATTATTTTCTATACATATATATCCTACTTCCCTTGCAGCCATTGATCTATTTTTGTTTCCTTCCTCCTGAAAAAATTTTCTACAATTTCTGTTTTAATTCCTGCTTTCTGAATATCACTTACAACCATTTAAATCATTTTCACACCAAGTACCCTGGTGAAACTGAGCTCTTTAAGATTGCCAATAATTTCTACTGAATATAATGCCATCCTTCATTTTTATTTGCTTAGCTAATTATTAGGTTTTAACAGGTGTTCAATTACTCTTTCTTAATTCACTTTCTTCACTTGTCTTTATTACTTCTCTCTCTCTTTTCAACCGTTTTCTCTCTATAGGTTTTACTCTCAATATTTGCCTCAAGAGACAAGTTTGGACCCCTTTCTTTTACTATTTATTCCTTTGTTGATGTTATCTCAGTCCAACAAGTTTAAATATCCATCTTCTTGCACTCTATACCCAAATTAATACATCAAGTTCAGGAGTCTCTTCATAACTCTATACCTATTTTTCCAACTGTCTATTCAGCATCTCAATTTGTATATGTATGCATCTCAAACAAAATGTATTCAGAAGTGAATTCCTGACATTCCCTATACACAAGACCTACTCTAACCACAGATTTTCACCTCCTATTTGATGGCAACTCTTTTTTCTTCTTCCTCTCTTCCTCCCTCTCTTCCTGCCTCCCTCCCTCCCTTCCTTCCTTTTCTTTTTCTTTCTTGCTTTCTTGCTTGCCTTCCTTCCTTCCTTTGTTCCTTCTTTCTTTCCTTCCTTCCTTTGCCTTTCTCTTTCTTTCTTCTCTTTCTTTCTTTCTTTCTTTCTTTCTTTCTTTCTTTCTTTCTTTTTCTTCCCTTTTTCTTTCTCTTTCTCTTTCTTAACAAGGTCTCACTCTGTTTCCCAGGCTGGAGTGCAGTGGTGCAGTCATAGTTCACTGCAACCTTAAACACCTGGGCTCAAGTCATCCTTCCACCTCAGCCTCCTGAGACTGTAGCTGAGACTACAGGTGCATGCCACTATGCCTGGCTAATTATTATTATTATTTTTATTTAGTAGAGACAAGATCTTGCTATGTTGCCCAAATGGTCTCAAACTCCTAGTCTCAAGAAATTCTCCTGCCTCAGGCTCCCGAAGTGCTGGGATAACAGGCATGTGCCACTGGGCCCTACCTTGATGGAAATTCTTTTTGTTTTTTCTTTCTTTTTCTTTTTTTGAGATGGAGTATCACTCTGTCACCCAGGCTGGAGTGCAGTGGCATGATCTTGGCTCACTGCAGCCTTTGCCTCCTGGGTTCAAGTAATTTTCCTGTCTCAGCCTCCTGAGTAGCTGGGATTACAGACACTGCCACCACACCTGGCTAATTTTGGATTTTTAGTAGAGACAGGGTTTCACCATGTTGGCCAGGCTGGTCTCAAACTCCTGATTTAAAGTTATCTGCCCACCTTGGCCTCCAGAAGTGCTGGGATTACAGGTGTGAGTCACCTCACCTGGCCAGAAATTCCTTATATCTGGGTTTTCAAGCCAACAACCATTAAGACATCCTTAGTTTCACACCACTCCATAATCATGTTGACTGTATTTTCAATATATATACAAATGTAAACTTTTATTATTTCTAGTATGACAACATGATCTGAGCTATAATGATCACTTATCTGGACCATGCAAAAACATCCTAATGGAGCAGGATATTTCCCTGACCCCTTCATGGGTTTTGTGACAGGGGTGCCTTGTTTCTTCAGCCCACCACTCTCAACTCCTTGCTGGAGGGAGTGCATGAGCGAATAAGGCAGGAACTGGAGTGCAAGAGTGCTGGAGTTGACCAGCTGAGTCAGCAGCAGTGGAATCGAACTCCACTCACTCGGACCCACTGTGTCCCACCCCTTGTGGGAGGGAGCACACAGTTGAGTAGATGCAGGAGCTGGAACCAGCGCTTTTGGGCTCTGGCAGGAGCATACTCCATGTGGGCCCTGTGGCAGCATCTAGGTGGGGGTGCCTGTGGCCCCCGATCCCCTAGAGGGCATGTTACAGTGCTCTTTTAGCTCTGTCATCCACGGGCGGCTTAAATGTTAACTGGTCAGTGGGCCCTCTGCCTTTTTGCATGAAGCAGCTGCTCTTTGCCAGCGAGGGCAAAGGATCAGCATGACACCCTTTTGTATCCACACTTGCGGCTCCTGAATGGTAGTGCGGCATCCAGGAAAAATAAGGTCTCACTAACGAATTGAAGGATGGTAAATGCAGGGGATTATTACTATTTTTTATTTTATTTTTTATTTTATTTTTTTTGCTGATGAAAGTGGCTCTCAGTGGGAAGAGGAGCTGAAAAGGGGGTGAGGTGGGTAAGTAATCTTCCCCTGAAGTCTGGCTGTCTCTGGCTAGATTCTTCTCCAAAGTTATTCTGTCAAGCTGTCCCTCTGAAGTCAAGCTGCTTCTCTCCAACATCCAGCCATAGTCCCATCTACCCACTGAGACTGGGGTTTCAATAGGCACAGGATGGGGCAGGGAGGGGCCATGGGTGGTTTAGGAAAAGGCAACATTCGACCAAAAAGACAAGGATATAAACTCTCGCTTTGGGCTGCAGTTTCAGGCTTTTCAGCTGAGGGTAGGGTTTCACCGGGGACTCGCCATTTTCTGCCTAGAATTTCTCTGCCTTCTGTCCCTATCACTAATACATCTCAAAAGTGTTACTTTTAAAATCGGTGGTCTTCTCATAGAGAAGAAGCTGAAGTAGAGAAATCCTTCAAAGTATAGGTCAAATTGTGTTACTTTCCTGTTCAAAACTCCGCAGTTACTCTCCTATTTCACTTAAAGTAAAAGCCAAAGTCTTTAAAAATGGCCTACATGACCCTTCGTGATAAAGTTTCCTGTTTACTTTATAGCCACATCTTGCTTATTTCATTCCATACTGGCCTCTACTTTGGAACACTTGTGTTTTGTTGGGCTACGCTTTTAACTGAGACTCTCAACTATTTGCCATTCTCCCTTTCTTCCTTTAGTAATAGAATATTTAATTATTAACTGGGCCCAAGGCCCTCTTGCATAATTCCTAGATTTATCAGGCACCCTCAGGGAAAGGTGCAGCCACATGCTCAGCAAATTCCAGCTAATAGGATGTGGATAGGAGTGATTTGTACAACTACTGGGTTGTGTCCTTAAAGTTGAGTTATTTTCAACACTTTCTTTTTTCTCTTTTTCCAATGGCTGCAATGCAGAATGGCTAGCTAAAGTCAGAGTAACCCCCTTGCACTATAAACTGGAAGCTCAAGGTGGGTTTGGCAGAACAATTTAATAGAAAGGTATGGTTTTTATTAATTGTAGGGGCACCACCAGCCTTGGATTATTTACATAGGCTGTTTAGGTAGGGCAGACATAACTTTCTGACTTATTAAATTCACTGGTAATTTTAGTCTCCCAATTATGCAGTTGAACTAATAACCTAAAAAACAGTATTTTGGCCTCTATCTTATAATAGTACTCAGATAATCCAAGGAATATTGAAGCTAAATAGAATTGGAAGGTTGCCTAAATCAGAAATCAAATATTCCAAATAGGTTATGCCATTTTCCAAACCAGAAATTTTATGTTTGCTTTTTATCAGCAGAGTTTATATGTTTTATAAACAATCATTTAGATCTGATAATGAGTTGGAATAATGTTAGGGATTCATAGATCACTGATTTATTATATTAAGAATTAAGTAACTGGAGTCTGTGTATGGTGAAATATGCAATAATTCCTTAGCTGTTTCAGATGATTAATACAAGAACTGGCTCAACATTTCACTCATTGCCTATGTATGCTTGTCTACCAGAATGATAAAGCATTAATAGATTCTTATTCTAACCGGGGGCAAAATGTGTTTCTTTTCAGCATTTTGGTGACTATCCTAACATGTTACAATGACTGCCCCAAGCAAAATGAAAGAGTTGGAATAGAGATGAAACAAAAAGTAAATGATGAGGCAGGGTGCAGAAAGATTTTTTTAGATAAAAATTATTCAATATAACTCTTTTCCTGTGGATAATGACCTATTGAGAGACTATTTCAAATTACTGTTTCATAGAATTATAGGTCTGAAAGCTAAAAGCCATGTTGAATAGAAATCAGTTGCAAACCCCAGCTCCCAGGCAGGCGATGCATTAATACCCTCAGTCCACACACTGGCTAATGACATTTTCCAAGATTACAAACTAGAAATGTCAGAACGAGATCCAGAGTTCTAGACTCCTGATATATGAATGCTTGTATTTTCTTGATAATGTGATACAAAGTTTGATTCTGTGATTCATTCATTTTTATTCATTCATCTACTTAACAGATAAATAGCCAGATAAATGTTAATGCCATACAACCAGTGAAACAGTGGAGGTGTGTCAAAATGCTAAGGGAACCTAGAAAGAAACCAGTTTCATTTCAAAAGCTTAGCAGTTACATTTTAGCACGGAGGGATATCTTGAGCTGATGGTTAAGAATAGTTATATATTTTGGATGGGAGGAATAGGCTAGAGAAAGACACTCCAGCCAGGAGGAACGTTTTGTGTCTCCCTATCCCTATACGGAGCCATGAAAGATTGTAGTGTGAATGAAAATAGTGAGCAGCCTAATATAGCTTGGATGCTGGGTGGGTTGGTGGAAGTGTTCAATGTGTTCCCACAAAAAGTGATGAGTTGCTTATCAGTCAGCTAAGAAATCTGCATTCTTATTATCCTGTAGGAAACTAAAGAGAAGAAAAGAGCCTTACAAGTAAGAAAAGCATAGTAAAGATTGCACCTGTTATCTTCAGAGTTAGTTGAAATGAATAAATCTGGGGAGTATGAATAGCATATCCAGTTTAGAAATAATAAAACCTTTTTTTTTTTTAATTAGGGCAGTGACGATGGAAGAAAAAGGCAAGACTTCACTTTGGGAGGCTGAGGCGGGCAGATCACGAGGTCAGGAGATCGAGACCATCCTGGCTAACACAGTGAAACCCCATCTCTACTAAAAATACAAAAAATTAGCTAGGCGTGGTGGCAGACACCTGGAGTCCCAGCGACTCAGGAGGCTGAAGCAGGAGAATGGCGTGAACCCGGGAGGCGGAGCTTGCAGTGAGCCAGGCTCGCGCCACTACACTCCAGCCTGGGCGACAGAGCAAGACTCCATTTCAAAAAAAAAAGGCACCACTTGATGAGGATTTCTAGAGTAAAATATATTTTTAAACATGGGGGCTAGAAACTGGAACAGCACTTTATAATATTAATAAATGTTGAGCATACAAGACGTAGAGAGGTTTGGTTAAGAGGCTGTGAGAACATATCTGTTCATGCTAAATATGTAATTCTGAAAGTATTTTATTACTTTGAACCTCAATTTTTCAAGGTAAAGTAGCCATACATATTCATCTCAAAGGATTATTAAACTTATGGAAAAAGTAAATCAGAAAATGCATGTAAAGTAATCAAGAATAGTTTAAGTGGAAGCCAATTAAGTGGAAGGTATTGAATAAATGGCAGTTGTTACTAGTATAATTATTTCTTGTTTATATTGTTTTATTAGAGTGAACTTAGAAACAAATATACTTCATGAAAATGAAAATAAATATCAGAATCATGGAGCGGAAATATGTACATGTCCACCTGACAGTCATTATTATAATATAATAGTTGAAAAGACAAAACCAGACCAATAGTTTATAGAATTCTCATAGAATTTTGTTCCTTGTTTTGTTGAAAGTAAATTGAGTTTTATAAAATTTGAACTTGCTGAGTGAAACAAATAAACACTAGAACCTATTAGCTATCAGCAGCAGGCGTCTACAGAAACATTAGAACCTCTGGATATGTGCCTATGCCTGAATGATTTACATTTTAGCCTTCAAAGCATTCTCTCAGTAGCAGAGCAGGCTAGCTTTAAGCCAAAATGTGAAATATGCGAAGTTTTTCTTCAGATGCTGCCTTTTCAAATCCTTTGCAGTGAATGGGGGAGACAGATTATAGAATATGACCTGAAAAATCCCTAAGGGTTTCTAAGCATCAGATATAGCATATTCTGTTATCTCCATCTATTTTCATAGAAGTGTAATCAAGTAAAATGAATATTTGATATTGATTTTAAAGAGAAAAAGGAAATCACAAAAGGGAAACGTGACATTAGGGAAATAGAGGGCATCTGACAAGAGACTTGACTTTGGTAGGGATGGTTGAAAGTGGTTATTGGTACATAAAACACAAGTTATTTGTAGCAGTCACTGACAGAACTATATCCTTTGTCGATGACAGGCTTTATAAGTCATTGCTGGAACCTGAGATTCTGGCAAACTCAAAACCTGTGTTCCCAAAATATGCGAGACACAATATATATTATTATTTCCTTTCCATGACTGGGCATACAGATAAATGAATCTCTCCTTCCATTCCTAAAAGGAAAAATGATCATCACCATCATCACCACCATCATTATAATCATAGCCATAATCACTTACACATAGTCATGAGACAACTTACATTGACCCAAGTCCTCTCCTAGTTGCTTTCTAATTATTAACTCATTTACTTTACCAGCAACCCCTTGAGGTAGGCACCATTGCTCTCCCCATTTTACTAATGAGGAACCTAAGGTACAGAGAAGTCATAGAACCTTCCTAAAGTCATACAGGGAATTCTTTCATTAGGCTAGCTATCATTTCCATGGGCCCAAAGAGTCTGATGACTATTTCAATTATCCAGGGCAGATAATCTTTGTATCTGTTGGAAAGACAGTACTGCAGTGTGGTTAAATAAGGTTGCCAAATCAAATCTCTTACTAACTGCAGGGGAAAATGGGTCTCACTCTCACTAACTCTATGACTTTGAAACACGTATGTAACCCACTTGAATTTGAATGTCTCCATCTATAAAATGAAGACAAAGGTGAAAATGGAGGTGTGTTAGGTCATAGTCTGTAATCCTTGTGGCATGTCTCTATGTATACCTAAGTGAAAATTCTCTAAGTTCTCAAGTACAAATGGAGACAGTGGGAGATGGCCCCAGTGTCCTCATATCAAGATTTTCTAGACCCAGTGACCATGCATGAGGCCTCCTTGATGCCATAACTCTCTGAATAGCTAAACTGTTTTCGTGGATGGGCTTTAAAAGTTGTTGCGGAGTGCTGATATAGCTCAAGTATAACAGCAGTGAGCCTACAGTTCCATGATTTTCAAACTCACGGGTATCTCACTCTGTTGTATAACCTGCTAAGATCACCAAGATTCAGATGCAATTCTTTGAGTCATAAGGTAGGCAATGGGGAAACTTTTCCACTCACTGTTTTTATTACCTGGTTTATAACTTTAATTTGTTTACTTGAAGACCTCCAAGAATCCAAAGGTAAAGTGACTTTGAGTGAAGGTTATAGTCATTTTCACCCACACTTGAATTTGAAACACCTGTGTGCTCTAACCCAGCTCAGTATACCAAGCAGATAACAATGACTCTATGTACTAGTGCATATCTAATAAATGTCTATAATATTTCAGGAGATAAGTGGCCTTAAAGGACTTCTCTCATTGTAGATTCTCAGCAATTGCCTAATTAACATAAAATCAGTGTGCCCTTCCTTAGTAGGTGAGTTACCACACGTAATAAGCCATGTTTTTTACTTTGTTTTAACAAATCAAGCCTTTGCTTCTCTTGGTTTGAAACTTCACTCTAAAATTATTAGGGCCTCTAACTCCTGTAACTCCCACAGTACCCTAATTGTCCACTATAAATGACTGCTGTCATACCATGAAATCCAATTGGGTATATCTTTTTCCCTCCTGCAAAATATATTTATTTATTTATTTATTTGCTTATTTTTATTTTATTTGCTTGCTGGACTTGTGCTAATTGAGACAGATGGTGTTATGATTTTTTATATTTTATCTATAAAATGAGAAATTCAATTGACTGCCACATTTAAAAACTTAGTTACTTAATCATTTTCCATTTTTCCATAAACTCCCTGAAATTAGTATATATTTAAGTAGAAAGAATTGAGAAACAGAGTTAAATTATTTGCAAGACTATAGAGTAAATTAAAGAAACAATTCACCATCAAGGTGAGGTAAGCTAAATCACCTCTAATACATTTAGATTCATTTTTCCATGATGTCATTAGATTGTGATTCTAATAATCAACTAACATTATTCTATTAATGGATTTATTGCATTTGGCAATATTTTCACTAATATTTTGGAATATTTAAATCTATGTGGTGGACTGCACTAATCCTATTTGCCCACTTCCCTAGGTTATTATTTCTGGTCCTCAATTCAATCATAATACTCTAAGCTAGGTTAAAGCCTGATATTATTTATTATTTGTTTTAATAAAATTAACACTCAGTGCATGCTTCTAACCTATCAGCAATCTGGTGTGTAATGTTTATTCATTCTATCTTCTTTAATATCTGCAGATAGTTTCTGTATCTTAACAGTAATATAAAAACAAACAGTGTGTGTTTTTCCCTTGTAGAATGACTCATTGTATGGGGAGAAATGGTGTCCCACTGACTAAACATTTTTACATAGTCAGTTACAAAATATCTTACATGTAGAGTTGTAAGGTCATTAATGAATTCATTCTTTTGTCATTATTTGAGGCATATTTTGTATCAGATACTCTACTAAGCATTGACTTCAAGGAGGTTAATGTCACACTGTTTAATGATTGTATTTTTCACCCTCCTATGTCACTAGGTTTAGTCATTCTAGTAAAACTTTATAAATTCCTTCTATAGTTAACAATTTTCTCTTTGCTCTGAATCATCTCTTCGGGTGTTCTATAAATAGGACAGTGGCATTGCTCAAATGGAAGATTCTGACAAGAGAACTTCCGCCAGCAGGAAACCAGAGGGTCCCCAAGGGAAGTCATCGCTGAGAAATCTCAGAAGATTTCCTCTTTCTGAACTTGTGAAGATTCATCTTGCTTTCCTTGATTGTCCTTACAAGGCATGAAAGAGATAATTGCTTTATCCTCTCTCTGTAGCATATACTCTATGTATCAGGGGCAATGAATAACTATTTCATAAGGAAGTCTCTCTGATGAAACCCCAAGAGTACATATGGGTCAGTAAGAAAATGAAGTGTAGCAAATTACCTCTGTCTTTGGAACAATTTGTTTCTTGCCTTACAGTTACTTTTGAAATAGAAGTTATACGTCTGTGAAAAATATTCACAATATGTGTCATATGAGATGTATACATAGATCATTTCTCATGGTTGATATTGTCTATAATTGGTTCTGGTTCTGACAAATTCTATATAATGCATGATCGATACCTTATATAAAAACCAATGCAATAAACTTAGAAAGAAATCAAATAAGGTGAAAGAAAAATACCATAATGTATGCCATTTAATATAAATATAAATTAAGAAAATGGCTACTTAATATTTCTAAATGTAATCATAAAAGTTACAAGACACAAAAGATACTCTTTAGCAAAACATCTTATAATATTACTTATATTTGCTCTACTATTGTAGACTCGCTTTTAAGATTTTCCATTATCTGGTCCTAAACTTTCTGTTGAGATATTTGATGTGGCTCAAAGAATACCATACTAAATCTTATAATTCAGTTCCCATTTTTTGCACTGATACTAAAATCTGTGTCACTTTGGTTAAGTTCTTGACACTTCTTCACTTCAAATATCTTATATATAATGTGACTGATCTATGTGACCTCTGAGGTTACTTTTCACTTTAACATGATGACTTTTGTATTTATTTTTACTTCTCAATACACTCTCAAATGTATGTGACACATTCTGGCCTCAAACCCTTGCATAAGCCTATTAGTCTGCCACTATATTGTAGGCTCCAAGAGAATAGAGACGGTAAACATTTTGTTTATCGATAACTCCCAACAACATGTTCTAATATATTTATTATGTAAAATGCCTTCTATCTGGCTATTCATTTCCACCTTTCTGCTTCCTTTTCATTCATTCACTCGTTCTTCATATATTAATTCATTCACCTGCTTATCTTTGCATTCTTTAAATTCTCTCTGCATTCAAGGTCAACTGATCTTCAGCTTTTCCATTAAGCTCTACTGATCATTCCAGCCATAACTGATCTTTGTCTGTTTAAACTCCTACCACATACACAGTGGTGATCACATTATTATGGACCTAAGAATAGAATCTTTGTAGACTTATTAATATATTGCTATACTGCTCTTCAATGTTTCTGATTTTCCCAATGACTCTGAATTTATTAAAGGCAGACATATTATAACACGAGTCTTCTAAAAGTTATCCATGACTTGTAATACAATCTAGACAAAGAATTTCAAAACTGTAATTTAGCATATTCTCTCTCACTAGCTAATACATGTTTAAACACATATATACACACAATTCTTGATGGTCCATCAGTATCCAGTAATTTATTCTGGTAAAAATGGGAACAGTAAAGGGGACTAAGTGATATAAGTGATATACACGCCAGGAAATGGCCACTGAACTTTTCCTCTAATTTACTGGAATAATTGTAAATCCATAATTATCTGAAGTACGAGTATAACACTGCATTTCTTAATTTTGCCCATGATATAAAAAGACTCTTTCCTTCCCTTGTCTTTGCCACCATTTTTTTTTTTTTTCTGTGAGAAAAGCCAAGTGGTCTGAAGTTATGCTGGTGCACAAGGCATTTTAAAATAGCCTTCATTTACGAGCAATCATCTATGAAGGACTAACATTTAAGGAGTCTTGCTGTGTCCTTTTTTGAGATTACAGCTTCCATACAAGTGACAAATATATTTAGATGGAACATAAAGTGTTCTCTGCACAGTTTTCGATTTGTATAGTTAGCATCCATACCTTTTAGGATAAAATGCTCAAATGAGAAATGTTGAAGAATACTAACTTCTAACAAATAACTAAAATAGATGTTATCCCAGAAGGGTAACAGCAGGCTGTATTTCCAGGGAATACATTTGAGCAAGTAATTTATATTTCCTTTCTAAGGAAATATGGTAAATAAGTTTGTTTGTACTTTTCTTTTATTCCCTCAAAAATTTCAGAGAATCAGAGATTGAAATGACAGAGAGAATTCTAGTAGTTTATCTTATGTCTACTCCTTCTAGGTGAATATTTCGTGTGGGGAAAACTCTAAAAAATAAAAGGTAACACTTCAGTTGTTCTCCATTTTATATATTTCTTGTGGCCAAATCCCTATTGATCTAGTAGATCTGTGATTAAAAGAACATTGTATAGATGTTTCCTGATTAAGATGACAAATATAGAATTATATACATATAAAACGTGCATTATACTAGATGTTATGTATTATATATGTCATAGATAAAATATAATAGGGCAAAAATATAGCTCTATATTATTCTTTTTTTTGAGATGGAGTTTCACTCTTGTCGCCCAGGCTGGAGTGCAGTGGCATGATCTCAGCTCACTGCAACCTCTATCTCCTGGTTTCAAGCAATTCTCCAGCCTCAGCCTCCAGAGTAGCTGGGATTACAGGCGCCTGTCACCACACCTGGCTAATTTTTTGTATCTTTAGTAGAGACAGGGTTTCACCATGTTGGCCAGGATGGTCTCAAACTTCTGACCTCAGGTGATCCACACGACTCAGCCTCCCAAAGTGCTGAGATTACAGGCGTGAGCCACCGCACCTGACCAGCTCTATATTATTCTAATTAGAAAAATAATCTAAGAAAAGTGCCTTGTATTTGCTGATTTCTCTCTCTCTCTCTTTTTTTTTTGTTTAAAAAAGAACAACATTCTAGATCAACATAAATACAAATGAGTATTTCCTCTGTTATGAGAAAGTGTCTTGCATAAAGGTCTGCTATGTGGCATTTGTTAAAAATTTAGACCACTATCCAAGCAATAAATACTGAGGATTGTCTTTAATATAACACAGGAGTCTTCTGGATATTGAGGTAGCAGCATGAGAGCAAATGAAAGTTTAGATCTAGTGACTTAGAAACCGTGTAGTGACTCATTTTACAGATGATAATACTAAAACCCAGGGATATGGAGTGACAAAATTAGTTTTATACAAAGACCTAGTGGTCCAGAATCCAGATTTCTTCATTCTTAGGAATATAGTTTCTTTTTGTTTGTATATTTAAACTCATAAATTGAAATAGAGTATTTCAAGGTACAGGCTTTTTTGTTCCTTCGTAAATATAATAACCTCCTTTTCCAAAACAATTACTTGCCATTGAAAAGTAATTTAAATGCTAAATTCAGTGCAGCCTCTTAAAAGTCAACCAAAGCTCTTGATATAGCTTTTTATTATTTTTTTTAAGTTTACTTTTGTGAAGAAGAGTCTGAGATTTTATGCTACTTGGAAGCGAACCAGCTAGTCTGCCAGTTACAGGGATGCTAGTAGAATACATGAAACATCTGGGTTTGAGATAGAGATATTTCTTACTCATGGTACAGCAAGAAGTGTGAGCACCCTTTTTGCATCTGCACTTGCTCCTAAAGTCCTGCAAGTTCATTGTGGAGGAGCAGAGACACTGTATTGCAGTGAGTGTGCATCACAGGGAACCCAGAGCTCAGGGAATCCGAAGCTTCTTAAATGTCCTTTATGCCCAGAAGACATTCTCCTTATTGTATTGGACAGTAAGCAAAACTTCATTTTGTTTCTGAAAAACCTCTATTTCACAAAGCTATTCACTATAAAAACATTCTTGAGAAGAGAGTTCTGGGGGGAAAAAAAGGGCAATCAGTGTTTACTCACAAGACATGCAACAATGCAAGGGACCCCTGGAGAACTGTGAGCCAAAAACCTAATTTTACTAATTTATTGATTATTCACTCATTAATAGACTCTTTCATTTATTCTTTCATCCTTCTATTCTGTTGTTCTACTATTTAGTCAGTAATTATTCCATTTCTATGCCAGGATCTGTCTTATTATTCAGTAACTTTTTATTTCAACCAAAGAAAACTCATCTTTCTACTTAAAATCAATGAATCAATCAATCTACACTTTTATAACATGAAGTTAGTCTTTACTGATGCTGTTTCTTCAACTTAAAAAAAAAAAAACCTTCTAACAATTTTACCGATTGAAATCTTCGCTTTCCTCAAGAAACAAATAAAATAGTATATTCTTTATTCATTCTCTCTGATTTCTACAATTCAAACTACCAAAAAAATCTCCTTCTGTTGAGCTCATGGAACAATTGCGGTTTTCATTTTTATAACTCTTTTGGAATTCCTGCTTTGACATTTTTCAGAATTATTTATGTTTAGTTCTAACTCCCTATCTGTGAGTATTAGTGCCAGGAGAAGACAGCCTGCTCAATCCTCATGGTTTTTTTTATACCCATAGTGCCTGTGTAGTCTCCTACTAATAGTTTAAATCCACATGTTAACTGAAATTGATATCCTGGAAATTTGGTCTGTGTTGCAGCTAAGCTTCTATCTGGTATACAAGTTACAGTAATTAACAAGTAGTTACATCATTTATCCCATTTTTTCAATCCATTTGTACTTCAATAAGATAATTATATATTTATATATGTAATATATATGTAACTATGTGATATATACATATATATTTACATATATAATTAAATATATATTACAAGTAGTTACATCATTTATCCCATTTTTTAATCTATTTGTACTCAATAAAATATATATTTATATAATATATATTTAATATATAATATTATATATAATAAATATGTCTATATATGTTATATATATAGCAATATATAATTAAATAAATATATATATTACAAAGGGGATTGTGTGTGTGTATATATATATTATATATATATATAGAGAGAGAGAGAGAGAGAAAGACAGACAGACAGACGGACAGACAGAGACAGAGAGCAAGAGAGAGCACAAGAGAGCCATTCTGGATGTTTTTCCATCCCTATTTTTTGACTTACATTATTGTGACTGATAAAGTATAACTCAATGATCCAGGATCTAAGTTCTACCTACTACCTGTTGATTGTTCACAGTTTGGAAACAGACATACGGCCTCAACAAAAGTTAAAAATAGGGCTCAGCAACAGGATGGCTACAGTAAAATAGCTAAAAATACTAAGCATTGGCAAGGATGTAGAACAACTGGTATTAAGATTAATACAATTGCTTGAAAACAAAACTTGTTTCTCAACATCTTTCAAAGCTAAACATGCATATATTCTGTGACCCAGGAATTACTTTTTTGCCTATCTATATAACTCCACAAAATGAATGTGTATGCCCATCAAAAGCATGCACAAGATGTTCACAGCAGCCTTATTCATAACAGCAAAAAAATGGAAATAATGCAAATGTTTACCAAGAGAATAACTGATGAATAAATTCTGGAATATTCACACAAGAGAATAGTACATATAAATTAAAATGAATGTATCCCTACTATATAAAACAATGGATGAATCTTATAAAATGTTGAAGGACATCAGATATAAAGAGTGCATATAGTATCATTCCATTAAAAAATATTCAAAACCAAGCAGAATAAATCTGTCTTACTAAAGGTGAGAATAAAATTTGTCTTTGTGGCATATCAACTATATGCGGGAAAAGGGAGCCTGCTAGAATGTTATAAATGTTCTAAATTTTCTGATATAGGTAGTAGTTATCTATGTGTATATCTGTATGTGTGTATTTGTATTCATACACATAGTATGTGCATATAGTATACGTATATTACATGTATACATATATATATATAAAATATTTACATAGACACAAATTCATCAAACTACACAGTTAAAATTATTGGAATTTTCATACTTAAATTAATGCTTAAATTTTAGAAGAAGAGGAAGATGAAGAACAAGAGGAGGAGAAAGAAGAGGAGGAATAAATGAAATTATGTCAGTGGCAAAATGAACAAGGACTTAAGTCTAGAACCTGGAGACTTGGAAATTCTATGGACATAGATCATATTTTTGGTATGGTGGCTGAGGTAACAAGTTGGGTATAGAGTGGGAAGGCACTGGAGAGAGCTATGATTTACATTTATAAAGAGAAGATAACTATGCAAGGAAGAACAGACTAGATCCAAAGTCTCAGGCTGAGGAAAAATATAAGGGATATAAAATGAGAATTTATTATTGTGCAATACAGGACAATAAATGTGTATGTTTTAAAAAAATTCAATTAAAATCAAGTTATCTTACTACCAATTTAATTTAACAAAAACCTGAGCTTTTAGCAAGAATGGAAGTCACCAGGTAAAGGATTAATATCCTCAAAAACTAGAAAGATAATGAAAGTCAACCTAGAATTTTATATGTATTAAAATTATTTATCAAGAATTAGATTAAAACAGACATGTTCAGAAAAACAAAAATGGAGTTTACCATTAATTGATTATTAATTAGATAAAATTACAAAGAATAGACTACATAAGAAAAGTGATCTTAGATGAAGAATTGGAAATACAAGAAGAAATGGTGAGCAGCAAGATATTGGAGGAGGCAGAGAAAGACAGTGGCATAGAAAGCTGCACTGATTGTCCTGTCTGCAAGGACACCAATTTAACAACTATCTACACAGAAAAAAAACACCTTTATAAAAACCAACAATCAAGTGAGCACTCATAGTACCTGGTTTTAACTTCATATCACTGAAAAGATAGAAAAAAACACTTCTGAATCACCGACGCCCATCCCCCTCCCCAAGCACACATGCGCATGGTGGGATGCCTGACATAGACAGCTTTTCTGGGTGCTGCGGGAGGGAGAGCCAATTGTGAAGCATTTAGCTAAGTGTTGCCCTGTTAGAGCAGAAAGGAAAGTTGGGCCAAACTGAGCTGATGCACTAGCTGTGGAGGGAGCATTTAAACCAGCCCTAGCCAGCCCTAGTCAGAGGGAAATTATTGATCCTAGTGGTCTAAAATTGAACTCACCACTGAAGGCTGTAGCTTCTGTATTTCCAAGTAAACTTGAAAGGCAGTCTAGGCCATAAGGACTGCAATTCTCACTCAAGTCTTAGTGCTGAACTAGCTCCAGAGACAGTGGACTCAGTGGACTGAGACACCAGCTAGAGGAGCCAAGGCAGTGCTGACATCACCCCTCCCCTAAACTCAGGATGCACAGCTTGTTGCTCAAAAGGAGACCCATTCCTTCCACTTGAGAGGAGAGGGAAGAGTGCAGAGGACTTGGTTTTGCATCTAGGATACCAGCTCAACTACAGTAGGATAGGACACTGGTCAGAGTCGTGAGGCCCCTGTCCCAGGCCCAAGCTCCTGGATGACATTTCTAGACACATCCTTGGCCAGAGGGGAACCCACTACTTTGAAGGAAAGGACATACTCTGGGAAGCATTTATCATCTGCTAACCGAAGAGCCCTTCAACCCTAAATAACCAGCAGCAATACCCAGGTACTACATTGCGGGCCTTGGGTGAGCCTCTACAACTGAGTTCAGGTATCAGCACAGTCACAGGGGATTGGAGCACTAAGGAGGCCATTAGGGTCCCCAGTTAAAGAACTTGACTCTTGGATGGCATTTCTGGACCTGCCCTGGGCCACAGAGAAGCCCCCTGCCCTGAAGGGTGAGTCCTAGGCCAGGCAGTATTCACAACAAGCTGACTTAAAAGACCTTGGGCCTTAAGGGAGTATCAGCAGTAGTCTTGCAGTACTCCTCGTGGCCTAGGGTGGCAGTGGCTATGGGGTGAGGCTCCTCTGCCTTTGGAAAGGGGAGAAAAGAATGGGAAGGACTGCATCTTGTGGTTTGAATGCCAGCTCAGCCACAATACGATAGAACACAAGGTAGACTAAGGTTTCTGACTGCAGTTCCCGACTTCCAGACAGCTTTTCTAGACCCACCCTTGGCCTGGGGGAGCTTGCCATCCTGAAGGGAAAGACAGGGTCTGGCTGGCTTTGCCACCTGCTGATAGTAGAGCTGTAGAACCTTGAGCAAACATAGACAGTAGCCAGGGAGTCATTACAGCAGGCTCTAGGTGAGACCCAGTGCTGTGCTGGCTTCGGGTCTGACCCAGGACAGCCATATTGGTGGTGGACACAGGGGTGTTTATGTCACTCTGCCCCCAGTTTTAGGTGGCTGAAACAGCAAAAGAAGGCCTCTGTATGTTTGGGAGAATGTAAGGGAATAGAAAAAAAATCTCTGTATGGTAATCCAGATAATTCCCCTAGATCTTGTCCAAGACCATGAAGATGGTACCTGCATGAATCTGCAAGAACCACAATATTACTAGGCTTGGGTGGCCCCAAAAGTGAATACAGGTTAAATCACAAAAACCAAGTTCTGGAAAGCTTTCCCAAGAATGATGGCTACAAATAAGCCCAGACAGTGAAGACTGCAATAATTACCTAACTCTTCAATGTCCACACATCAAAGATCTACTAACATCAACACCATCCAGGAAAATATGACCTCATCAAATAAACTAAATAAAACATCAGGGACCAATCCTGGAGAAACAGATATTATAAGACCTTTTGACAGAGAATTTAATATAGCTGTGTTAGAAAAGCACAAAAATTTTAAGAAAACACAAAGAAGAAATTCAGAACTTTGTCAGATAAATTTAACAAAGAGATTGATATAATTTAAAAGAATCAAGCAGAAATTCTGGAGCTGAAAAATGAAATTGGTGTCCTGGAGAATGCATCAGAGTCCTTTAATAGCAGAACTGACCAAGCAGAAGAATTAGTCAGCTTAGAGACAGGCTATTTGAAAACACAGTCAGAGGAGACAAAAGACAAAGGAATA
The DNA here is from genome assembly GCF_000001405.40 of Homo sapiens. NCBI lineage: Eukaryota > Metazoa > Chordata > Mammalia > Primates > Hominidae > Homo > Homo sapiens. The sequence goes on along the minus strand of NC_000007.14, from coordinate 145,901,233 downwards.
CAAAATAATGAAGCATGCCTACAGGATCTAGGAAATAGCCTCAAAATTGCAAATCTAAGAGTTATTGGCCTTAATCAGGAAGTTGAGAAGGAAATATGGGTAGACAGTTTATTCAAAACTTCCCAAACCTAGGGAAAGATATTAATATTCAAGTACAAGAAGGGAATAGAACACAGATTTCACCCAAAGAAAATTGCCTGGAGGCATTTAATATTCATACTCTCAAAGGTTAAGGATAAGGAAAGATCCTACAAGCAGTAAGAGAAAAGAAACAAATAACATAAAATGGAGCATCAATATGCCTGGAAGCAGACTTTTCACTGGGAAACTTACAATGCAGCAGAGAGTGGCATGACATATATAAAACGCTGAAAGAAAAAACTTTTACCCTAGAAGAGTACATCTGGCAAAAATATCCACCAAACATAAAGGTGAAATAAAGACTTTGTGAGACAAACAAAAGTTGAGGTAGTTCATCAATACCAGACCTTTCCTAAAGAAATGCTAAAGGGAGTGTTTCAATCAGAAAGAAAAGAACATTAATGAGCAATAAATAATCACCTGAAGGTACATAGTAAGTACACAGAAAAATACAGAATATAATATCATTGTAACTGTGGTATGTAAACTACCCTTATCATAAGTAGAAATACTAAACTACGAACCGATCAAAAACAATAACTACAACAACTTTTTAAGACATAGTACAATAAGATAAAAATAGAAACAACAAAAAGTTAAAAAGTGGGTGGACAAAGTTAAGATGTAGAGTTTTTATTACGTTTCCTTTTCCTTATTTGTTTTCCTGTTTATGCAAATAGTGTTAAGTTGTTGTCAGGTTAAAATAATGGGTTATAAGATAGTATTTGCAAGCCTCATTATAACCTCAAACCAAAAAACATACAATGGATGCACAAAAATAAAAAGCAAGAAACTTAATCATATCACTGGAAAAAATTAACTTCATAGAAAAATACAGGAAGGAAAGAAGAAAGAGAAAACCATAAAACAAATAACAAAATAGCAGAAGTTCTTACTTATCAATAATAACATTGAATGTAAATGAACTAAACTCTCCAATCAAAAGACTTAGACTAGATAAATGGATGAAAAAACAAGACCCATTGATCCGGTGCTTACAAGAAACACACTTAATCTGTAAAGACTCACACAGTGAAATTTTTTTTAAATGAAAAAAGATATTCCATGTGAATGGAAACTGAAAAAAAGCAGGAGTAGCTATACTTATATTAGACGAAATAGATTTCAAGACAAAAACTATAAGGAGAGAAAAAATGTTACTATATAAAGGTAAAGGGGTCAATTCAGTGAGAGGATATAACAATTTTAAATATATCTGCACTGAACACTGAAGTATCCAGATATATAAAGTAAATATCATTAGAGCGTAAGAGAGAGATAGGCCCCAATGCAATAACAATTGGAGACTTCATGACCCATTTACAGCATTGGACAAATTTTCCAGATAGAAGATCAACAAAAAAAATCAGACTTAATCTGCACTATAGACCAAATGAATCTAATAAGTACTTACAGACCATTTCATCAATTGGATGCAGAATAAACATTATTCTCCTATCCTTAGCACATGGATTATTCTCAAGGATAGACTATAATTTAGATCACAAAACAAGTCTTAAAACATTCAAAAAATTGAAATATCAAGCATCTTCTCTGATCACAATGAAATAAAAACAGAAATTTAACAAGAGGAATTTTGGAAATTATACAAAAGCATGGAAATTCAACAATATGCTTCTGAATGACCAGTCAGTCCCCGAAGAAACTGATAAGGAAATTGAAAAATTCTTTGAAACATATCATATTGGAAATACAAGATACCAAATCCTATGGAATACAACAAAAGCAGCACTAAGAGGGAATTTTATTGCTAAAAGTGCCTACATCAAGTAAGAGGAAAAACTTCTAATGAACAATCTAATAATGAATCTTAAAGAACTATAAGAGCAAATGCAAACTGTACCCACAGTTACTAGAAAAAATAAAATAAAATCAGAACAGAAAAATGAAATAAAAAGATACAAAAGATTGATGAAATAAAAAGTTGTCTTTTTGAAAAGTTAAACAAAATTGACAATCCATTAGCAAGACTAAAAAAAAAAAAGGAGAGAAGATCCAAATGAATAAAATTAGAAATAATAAAGAAGACATTACCGCTGATACTACAGATATTTAAAGGCTCATTAGCAGCTAACAAGAGCCAGTATATGCCAATAAATTGGATAATCTAGAAGAAATGGAAAAAGTCCTAGCCACATACAACCTACCAAGATTGAACCAGGAAGAAATCCAAAGCCTGAACAAACCAATAACAAGAAATGAGATAGAAGCCGTAATAAAATATCTCCCAGTAAAGAAAATCCTAAGACCTGATGGCTTCACTGCTGAGTTATACCAAACATAAAAGAAGAACTAATATCAATCCTACTGAAGCTATTAAAAGAAAAATAGAGGAGTAGGGTATACTTCCAAACTCATTCTACAAGGCCAGTATTAACCTGACACCTAAACCAAAGACATGTCAAAAAAAAAATAAGTAATTAAATAAATAAATAAAACTATAGGCCAAAAACTCTGTTGAAGGTAGATGCAAAAATCCTCACAAAATACTAGCAAATAGAATTCAACAATACATTAGAGAGATCATTCATTATGGACAAGTGGGATTTATCCCTGGGATGCAAGGATAGCCTAACATATGCAAATCAATTAATGTGGTACACCATTTTCAAATCAATTAATGTGATACATCATATCAACAGAATGAAAGATAAAAAGCATAAGATTATTTCAATTGATGCTGAAAAAGTATTTGATGAAATTCAACATTCCATCATGATAAAAACCCTGAAAAAACTGGGGATAGAAGAAACACACCTCAACACAATAAAAACCATATATGATGAACCCACAGCTTGTATAATACCTAATGGGGAAAAGATGAAAGACTTTCTTCTGAGATCTGGAACATGAAAAGGATGCCCACTGTCACCAGTGCTATTCAACATACTGGAAGTTTTAGCAAGCACACAAGATAAAGCACACAAGAGAAAATATAAAGGATATCCAAATTGGAAAGGAAGAAGTCAAATTACCCCTGTATGCAGATGATATAATTTAATATTTGGAAAAGCCTAAAGACTCCACTAATAAACGATTAGAACTGATTTAAAAATTCAGTAAATTTTCAGGATACAAGATCAGCATACAAAAATCAGTAGCACTTCCATATGCCAACAGTGAACAATCTGAAAAGGAAATAAAAGGTAAACCCATTTACAATAGCCACTGATAAAATTAAATACCTGGGAATTAACCAAATAAGTGAGAGATCCCTATAATGAAAACTACAAAACACTGATGAAAGAAACTGTAGAGGACACACACATAAACACATACACACACACATACAAGGAAGGATATTCCATGCTAATGGGATGGAGGAATCAATATTGTTAAAATGTTCATACTACCCAAAACAATCTACAGATTCAATATAATCACTGTGTAAATATCAATGACATTCTTCAGAGAAACAGAAAAAAATCCCTACAATTTACATGAAACCACAAAAGACCCAGAATAGCCAAACCTATCCCAAGCAAAAAGAACAAAACTGGATTAATCAAATTATCTGACTTCAAATTACACTACAGAGCTATAGTAACCAAAACAGCATGGTGGTGGCATAAAAAGAGACACATAGACCAATTGAACAGAATAGAGAACCCAAAAACAAATCCACATCTACAGTGAACTTTTAACAAAGGTGGCAAGAACACACACTGGAGAAAACATAGTCTCTTCAATAAGCAGTGCTAGGAAAACTGCATATCCATATGAAGAAGAATGAAGCTAGACCCCTGTCTGTCACCATATACAAAAATCAAATCAAAACGGATTCTGAAGTAATGAATAAATCTAAGACCTCAAATTATGAAAGCACTACAAGAAAACACTGAGGAAATCTCCAGGACATTGGTGTGGTCAAAAATTTCTTGAACAGCACTCCACAAGCCCAGGCAACCAAAGCAAAACTGGAAAAATGGGATCACATCAAATTAAAAAGCTTCTGCACAGCAAAGGATACAATCAACAAAGCAAAGAGATAATCCACAGAATGGGAGAAAATATTTGCAAACTACCCACTTGACAAGAAGTAATAAACAGAAATATGTAAGGAGCTCAAACAAACCTCTAGGATAAAAATCTAATAATCTGATCAAAAAATGGGCAAAAGTCTGCATAGCCATTTCTCAAAAGAAGACATACAAATGGCAAACAGACACATGAAATGGTGCTCATCATCATTTATCATCAGAGAAGTGCAAATCAAAACTACCAGGAGATATCATCTCACCTTAGTAAAAATGACCTATATCCAAAAGACAGGCAATAACAAATGCTAGTGATAATGTGGAGAAAAGAGAACCTTTGTACGTGGTTGGTAGGAATGTAAATTAGTCCAACCACTGTGGAGAAAAGTTTGGAGGGTCCTCAAAAAACTAAAAACAGAGCTACCATATGATCCAGTAATCCCATTGCTGGGTATATACCCCAAATAAAGGAAATGCATATGTTAAAGAGATATCTGCATGTCTATGTTTGTTGCAGCACTGTTTACAATAGCTAAGATTTGGAAGCAAAGTAAGTGCCCATCAACAGATAAATGGATAAAGAAAATGTGGGACATATGTACAATGGAGTACTACTGAGTCATAAAAAAGAGAGATTCAGTCATTTTCAAGGATAGAACTGGATTATGATGTTGTTGTGAAATAAGTGAAATAAGACAGGCATAGAAAACAACACACATGCTTCCCTTATTTGTGGGATCTAAACATCAAAACAATTGAACTAATGAACATAGAGAGCAGAAGGATGGTTACCAGAAGCTAGGAAGGATAGTGGAGCTGGGTGTGGAGGTGAAGATGGTTAATGGGTACAAAAAAATAGTTATAAAGAATGAATAAGACCTACTATTTAATAGCACATATGGGTGTGTATAGTCAATAATAACTTAATTGTACATTTTTAAATAACTTAGAGTGGTAATTGGGTTGTTTGTACCTCAAAGGATAAATGCTTCAGGGGATGCATATCCCATTCGCCATGATGTGCTTATTTCACTTTGCATGCTTGTATCAAAACATCTCATATACCTCATGAATATATATACCTACTATGTAGCCACAAAATTTTTAAAAATCATATGGTAAGCGATAAAATGGAAAACGTGGAAACTCTAAACACATTACTAAATAAAATAATAATGAAGTTCAAATTATGTTGAGTGGAGCCAGACTAGATAAAAGATATTCCTAAGTTATAGCACAGGAATACCCCTGCTATTTGTGAGCAGCTCTGTATTACAGAATTTTAACCTAAGCCTTATATATAATTAAAAATTTTCTGGCAATAATATTATGAAAGGAAAAATAAACTGATAAAATTAATTTAATTAAACACTTTAACCCAATATTTATAAAAGATTACCATATTGATATGCTATGTAAAAATTGAGATAATTTACATTTTTATATTGTCATTGAAATCTATTATGTAATTTATACTTACAGCGTACTGCAATACAGAATAGCCACAATTTCAGAGCTCAATAGAATACATTTCTAGTGGCTACCTCATAGGATAGGACAGCTCTACAGAAGCGTTTCTCAAACCTTAATATGCCTACAAATTCCACTGGGTTCTTGACAAATTAAATATTCTGATTTGGAGGTCAGATGAGGCCTGGTATTCTGAATTTTAAATAAACTCAAAGTGATGCTGATGTTTCTAATATTTTAGTCACTGTTGAGTAGCAAGTGATGCTGATGTTTCTAATACTTTAGTCACTGTTGAGTAGCAAGTCTGTTGAAGACACATTAGGATGCAGTAGAAGAATTTTCAAATTAGCATGTTCATATTAGCAAGAAAATAAATGAAATAATCCAATGTGCATCATCAGTAGAATAGATGGCATTATATAATGCAATTCGAGTTAACAACGAAAATAAGGTTTTCTTGGCAAGCATGGATGCAACTCGGAATATAATTTTCTGCAATAACAAGTTAAAGTAAATCATACACTGTATAGAAATATTTTTGTTCACAATAAAATTAAAAATAAATTCAAGGAAGGTATTATCTATTACCTATGTTCACAGAGACATTATTCATAATAGCCAAAATGTAGAAGCAACCCAAGTTTTCATTGATAGATGAATGGGTAAACAAAATCGGGTATATTCATGAAATAGAATATGATTCAGCTTTAAAAAGGAAGAACATTTTGATCTGTAGTATAACATGGATATAAACCTTGAAAATCCTATACTAAGTGAAATAAGCCAGTCTTAAAAACAAAAATACTGTATAATTCTATTTATATGAGGTGTTAGAGTAATCAAATTTATAAAAAACAAAAAATTAAATGGTAGTTACCAGGGGCTGAGGAGAGGGGAAACTGCGTAAAGAATTTGCTTTGCATGACAAGAAGAGTTTTGGAGTTTGGTTGCACAACAATCTGAATGTCCATAACATTACTGAATTGTATACTTAAAAATAGTTTAGATGGTAAATTTAATGCTATTTTCAATTTGCCACAATTAAAACAAACAAACAAAAAAACTAAAAAAAACTTTTAAAATCAAGGAAATTATTAGCATTAAATTAAGAACAGTAATGACCTTCAGTAGGGAGTTGGGGAAGGTCTTCCACAGGTAAAGGCATCTATGAATCTTTACTATTAATAATAACCAATATTCTCTTTACTTTCATCATGTTTCATGGTCTCTTGTTGTACCAGGGATAAACTTCCTCTATTTGTCAAGCAGTAGCTACTTGATTTTGCCTGTGGTTAGTGTTGGCTGCAGATGAGCCTGAGCTCAGGGGTGCAGGCTACCTTGAAGGGTTCATGGCTTATTGGCTAGAAATACATATCCCAAGGATTTAGTAGTACTACTGCTGATGCTGCTGTTCCTGCAGCTGCTGCTACTACTACTATCAAACAACGATAAAAGCACTCATACTGCTAAATGTAATGTAGGGGGTACTGTGTGAGGCAAAAGCTTCAAGCTCATTCTCTTATCTCTCCAGTGCACACAGCCTATCCTCTTGCGGTTATTAGGATCCTTAGAATCCTGACAGGCCGGAGAATTACGGAGAATGCTGAAAGTTACTGCAATGTGGAGAGGCTTAACTTTTGTAAGTTTTTGTGAAACCATACTTCCTTTGGGAAGTAAGAGTTTGAGGTTCTACCTTTTCTACTCTCAGAAGTTGGAATATCAGGTCAATAGAGTCATCTAAATTTTTGTAAGACAGGCCATTCGTGTTCATTACATTTCCCAAGAAACTCCATAGAGCTCATGACTTAAGAAGTCTTGATGCTAATAAGAACCACCTCCTCAGTGTTGTTTTCAAACTTAGATCAGATAATGCCTGTGAAGATAGCTAGCACAGAAGCTATCTTGCAGTAGGTACCCATCTGAAATGAATTTATAAAATCCAATTACTAAAACCTCGTATGTTATCTATGGGAAACAAAACCGAGTTATTGGCATGAAATCCTTTGTTTATAACCCTCACAAAATCCCATAGCATGGCCAGGCATTTCTTGCATCTATAGAAGGAAGAAGCTGCAGGTAGAGGATAAGTGGTTCAGGCAGCTCATTATAAAAATTAAACAAAAAATCAAAGCTTCTAATTCTGCTAACTTTAGCAAGCTTGTAGTTTTATTAAGTGACGAAAAACACACAAGTGGAATGAAAAGCCCTGATAAGCTAAAATAATTCATTTAAGGAAGAATCATTCAAGGCGCCTTTTTATTATTTAAAAAAAAAGGTGAAAACGACATGCCTTAGATTTCTCAGAATCTTTATATTCTACAACCATTAGATGTGGTTTGCAACTGAAGATAATTTAACTATGAAATTTTATTGACGAGTCACCCTTCTCTGCTGGGAACTGTATAAGAAACAGTCTAATGTAGCTGTTATAAGATCAGTATCTGGAGAAAGACTCCCCAGGTGGTTTGACCCCTGTTCTGTATTCTATCAGCATGTGACATGAGGCAAGCTACTTCACCTCTCTGATCTTCAGTCCCTCATCTGTAAGATGATAATGGCGATAAGACTACATTCTGAAGAGGGCAGTTGTGAGACCAAAAAAACTGCCAGAGTAAAGCCCGTGGAATGTGTTCTATAAATTTCCCTATTCCTATTTTCCAGTGGGTAGAAGCATTCTGCCAACACTGTAAAAAGCACTTCAAATTAGAGCTGAAATCTTGCAGTTTCCATAACGTCTATAGTTCATCAAATCACTTCAGTTGAGGTTATTAATCTATTTTGATTGATTGACAGTTGCACACTAGTCATTTGATTTATAATTTGAACCAAGTTATTGAATTTATAATTTGGACAGGGCTCTAAATGCATTTTTGATTTATGTGTGTCCCCCATGCAGTTACAACAAATCATTGGTGGTTGAGCAACATTTACTCTAAGACACATATATTTAAATTTTAAATTAAATTGGATTTTAAAGGGCAAAGAAATTTAGATTTCTTCATGTAAAGATCAATGCTGCAAATAACTGCAAAAGAAGCAATATGATCAAGCAAGAAAAGCTATACCACTTAACATCCAGAAAAACCCAAATTCTGTTTATAATTTTGCCTCTGACTAAGCTGCATTACAGGCTTTCAGAGTTATGTGAAAACACAGTGAACTTCTAGTTCAACATTTTTACTTTAAATATAAGAGTACTAGAGTGCTCAAGGTCATAGCATAGTTAGTGGCTAAGTTGGAAATTTCATCAAACTTCCCTGATTCCCATTTAGTCATCTTTCCATGGTATCACACAATTATTCTATGACTCAGTTGCTTTTTCTGAAAAAATATAGGGAGAATAATATAAGCTCTGCCTATATATGCAGATTTTTTAAAAAAGAACATGAGCAAAACACTTGAAAGAACATTAAAATATAAAAGTACTGTACAAGTTCCTACATAGACCTAAACTTTGGTTCCTTAGGCAAGGGAAGGTGTGGAGTCAGACACACCCGCTCATTAAGGAGCTCCTATTAGAGAAACACCACTACTCACCTACTTTCAGTTTTAATTCCTATACAACTCCATGGCATTTTCTAATTCTCAGATGACAAAACTGAAGTTTCTGAAGGGAACTGTCAACCCAGGACTTCAAACACTCAAGGCCTCTTCTTGTGTCACTTTGCTGCACTGCTGCTGGGTCTCTTAAATAGGATCGATCAGGATTATTAATGAGAAGTTGTAAATTCAATATTTTCTGGCAAAGCAAAAACACCTGCCTCTTTAAGATTTGACCCTAATTGTAAAATGGTTTTCTTCTTGCTGCAGTATTAGGTGTCATATTAATCTTTCTTTCTGACCTCATTCTAGCAAATAGTCTTAGAGAAAAAAATAAATAATGTTCCTGTAAATTGATTTATATAAACTCTAGAGATATAGTACTAGCCAACGATACCAGGCCATGTCTGGGCCCCGTCAGTAGATCAAAGGTGTCTGTGTCTTATTATTTGTCATCATACTAAGTTCAGAATGATTCCTGAAATGTCCACTTTCCTAATGTCATGCCTTCAATCAAGTATAAACTTTGTCATCTACTGATCTGGTGCCAAATATAATGCAATGACTTATTTCAATGGCCATGATAAAACATATCCAAGATATTCAAACTTGACATGGTACAAAGATGAGCAATCATGAAAAGGAGAATATGCCTTTAGATATCTAAGTACTTAAATGAACTCAGCAAAAATGCTATCTCTCAGAGCATCATAGGTTCTTTTCCGTACAAGCTACATGATGAAAGCATAATGACTTGGTTTCCCTCTTAAACTCCCCTAAGATTGTTAACAAATTGAAACTTCATCCAGCACAGCAAATATTCAAAGCAGATGTATGATTGGGTCCATATTTCCCCAAACTACTTCAATCATTTCCTTCTCAATGGAAATCAATGCACTTTAGAGTAAGAGGTCCTTATCATCTTCCATTCAGTTGAAGACATGCTTATTGAATGCCTGCTGCTGTGGACAAAATGTGTCCTCTCAAAATTTATACTTTGGAACCCTAATCCTCAAGGTAATGGCATTGAGGGAGGAGGGTTGGGAGGTAATTAAGTCATGAAAGTCAAGCCCTCATGAATGAGATTAGTACCCTTATAAGAAGAGAAACAAAAGAGATGACCTCTCTCTCTCTCTCTGTCAAGTGAGAATACAGCAAGAAGATGGCCCTTTGCAAACCAGGAAAATGGTTTTTATTAGGAACCAAATCCTGGACTTCAAAGCCCCCAGAACTGTAAAAAAACAGATTAAGTCATCTGGTCAACTGTATTTTGTTATAGCAGCCAAACCATATTAAGACACCCGCTGTTTGACCAGCACTCAAAAAAAGGTGTGGCATAGTCTTTGATCTTAAAAACAACAACAACAATAGTATTTTAATGACGGAGACAAAAAGAATGTAACATTGTTTAAAAATAAAGTACAAGGCGTGGTGTTTCACGCCTGTAATCCCAGCACTTTGGGAGGCCAAGGCAGGTGGATAACAAGGTCAAGAGATTGAGATCATCCTGGCCAACATGGTGAAACCCCGTCTCTACTAAAAATACAAAAATTAGCTGGATGTGGTGGCACACACCTGTGGTCCCAGCTACTCAAGAGGCTGAGGCAGGAGAATCGCTTAAACCTGGGAGGCGGAGGTTCCAGTGAGCCGAGATCGCACCACTGCCCTCTAGCCTCGCTACAGAGTGAGACTCCGTTTCAAAAAAAAAAAGTACAAATTATAATCATGTGTTTAAGTAATTGTTACAGATAAGTTCAGTAGGAGGGTAACTGCAAAAGATATTAAAAAGTATAGGAAAGCATCCAAGAGATAAGATTTGTACCAGAGGTTGACAGGCTAATCAGATGAGAAGAGAGAAGATATTGCAGACACAGAAGAAACCTGGGAAAAGTGATGAAAATATACAATATACATGGTTAATTCTCAAGGCATTTGGAGTGTGACATTAATTTTGAGACTTATTGAGAATGAAACTGAAGAGGAACATGCAATCAGTAAAGAAGGAGCCTGAAAGTGAAGGTGAGAAATTTGGACTTTATCACAAGAGAAATAGAAAGCAATGGAAGATTTAAGAGCAGACAATAAGGGAATGGTATGAAAAGTTTCAGACATATATACATACATATGCCAGATGAGAATGGCTTTTGAGAAACTAGAAGCAGGAGTGTATGTACAAAAGTCTGTGTTGACTAAGCAAAGGAGAAAAAGGAGGAAAGTGATGGAAAAGTAAAGGAAGAAAAACACAAAACAGGTAACTTTGGAGAAGCCTGATGAAATGATTTATCGGTTGGGTCACCAAGTGTGGCAAATATAAAGAGAGAAGATTCAATTAAATTTGAATTAAAAATAACCAATATATTTTAAGTATGACTCATATCTGCATAATTCACAAAATTTCATTAATTTTTTATGTAAAATTAAGATTTATGTGCACATCCAGTATTTTATCTGGCAACCCTATCTGAGACATTTCCATGTGCCACTGATAACCTTACGTTATGGACACACTCAAAGAATAACTGGTTTGGTAATACAGAGAAGTATGAATTCATAACATTTATCTAATGCCAGAAGTACAGATTATGTGTAAGTGAAATTATGTATACAAATAATAATATTATATATTAAGACAAACTGACATTACAGCATTTGAAACATTAATCTAGGTAGAATTAATGGAATTTAAAAAATCCTCTTGACAAGCAGATGTTCTGAGAGAAAGAATGAAAATTGTAGATCTTTAAGGAGAATATGCAATTACCTAAAACTCATACTTTCAAACTTATAATAAAACAGATTCCGCTATTTTGAAATGAAGATAAAAACTAGAAGGAACAGTGCCCATGGAGAAATTGCTCTGTTCTAATAATGCCAACGTGACTGAACTTTAGGGCAGGCCAAGGAAAAAAGTAAAAATAACTTGTTATATACATTTCCATATTTTTAAAGAGGGAATTATGATTACAGAGAGTTATTAGGAAAATAAGCGTGTGAAACTTCATTAGACTCTAAAAGTGCTCATAGAAGCAAAACAAAACAAAACAAAAATCCCAAACCCAAACAATATTTTATCAAAGAATTTATGTCGAAAGAAAATGACTTACATATATATATATATAAAATATTATATAGATTCTATATAACTTATAGAAAATTGAGGGACAAAATTAAAATACAACATCTGGAATGTATGGAATGGAATAAAGATGCTTTGGTGTGTAATGAACCTGGTGAACTTTTTGCAGGGGTTTGGATGTCAATGATTAAAAGACTGGCCTGTACTTGTTTAAGGTCAACATCTGTATTTTGTTTTTCGCCTCCAGCATAACCAAATTCTACTCACTCAGAGCATATCTCCTATCATCATACAGACTTTCTAGATTGTTCTAACCACCACTGATTTCTTCCTTCTTCAAAAATCTGTATAGCTTATTTTACTCATTTTTTTCTCATAATGATATACAGTCTTTTTTTCTTTTGTTATATCTCCTTTTTTTCAGCTTTAGGAACAAATGGATTATGATTTTGTTTTTTGTGTGTAGTTCTAAACAAATAATAATCAATACATGCTAAATAAATTCAGGTGAAAGATATAATAGAACACCTCATAAAACCTTGAATACTGCACTTTCTACTGAGGGATTAAACACAAAGTTTATCTGTCTACTAGCTTGAAACATAGAGGCTTGATCTGACAGCATGTCTATACAGGCTCCCTCTAGTACAAAGAGAACTGTGAGTTCACGAGGACATGCTCCACCTAGTAAAGAGCAATGGGTATTAGACTGCTTGAGATAGCCCTCCTTCCTGTGTGTTTGTTAAGGCGGTTTTTGAAATCCAGGATGACCACCATATATGACTATCAAATAAAAGATGATTTCATTTTAAGAGTAGTCAGTTATTTAATATCCATCTCTATTATAGAAGGAAACCACAGATCAGTGATAGCAATCAGAGCCTTACATGAAATAAAATATTTGAGCTGAAAGAGCCCAGTCATTTCTTTTCATCACTAATCTTCAGAACCATCTGGAACAGATAAAAATTACAGATTTCCAGGATCTGCTCATCACAATGTATTTTTTCATCTATTGTATCTACCTAGATTAATGTTGCAACTTTCTTAATCTCATTTTTATCTCAATATGTAGTATTTATTATTTGTATACAGTATTTTTTTTTTTTTTGAGAGAGAGAGTCTCTCTCTGTTGCCCAGGCTGGAGTGCAGTGGTGCGGTCTCAGCTCACTGAAACCTCCGCCTCCCGGGTTCAAGTGATTCTCCTGCCTCAGCCTCCCCAGCAGCTGGGACTACAGGTGCATGCCACCACGCCCGGCTAATTTTTTGTATTTTTAGTAGAGACGGGATTTCACCGTGTTAGCCAGGATGGTCTCGTTCTTCTGACCTTGTGATCCACCCACCTCGGCCTCCCAAACTGCTGAGATTACAGGTCTGAGCCCCTGCGCTCAGCCTGTATACAGTATTTTTAACTTAAACACAGTTCATATTTTTGACATCAAATATTATGAACTCACTTTTTTTTTTTGTGGCACCAAACCAATTGTGGTATGGACAGGAGACAGAAATTCTGGGTAGAAGAGGGTGGTTCCCCAGCAAAAGCCCCACCCCAAGCCTGGAAACCCACAGCTCTAAATGGGAACAGGAATTCCTGTCTTCTTGCCCAAATGTTGCCTTTTGGCCTACCACTCCTCCCCCATCCTGTACCCATATAAACCCCAAACCCCAGGCTCCATGAGCAGATGGGAAGATGAACAGAAAAGCAGAAGTGCAGCAGAGAAGGAGAGAGGAGAAGGAACATCCGAACATCCAGAGGAGTTTGGCTGGGGAGGGTTGAAGAGAAGATCAGCTGCTGGATGGCCAAACTCCAAGGGAAGATCATCTTCCCACTCCATCCCCTTTCTAGCTCACCATCCATCCCGCTGAAAGCCACCTCCACCACTCAATAAAACCTCTGTATTCACCATCCTTTAAGTCTGTGCATGACCTGATTTTTCCTGGATGCCAGACAAGAGCTGGGGATAAAGAAAGCTGTCACACTGGCCCTCTGCCCTTGCAAAAAGGCAGAGGGCCCACTGAGCTGTTTAGCACTTAAACCACCCACAGATGGCGAATCTAAAAGAGAGCACTGTAACTCGTGCCTACTTGGGCTTCAGGAGTCACAGGCAACCCTAGATGCTACCATGGGGCCAGAGCCCAGAAGCACTGGACCCGGCTACTGCACCTGCCTGTCTGCATGCTCCCACTGCTATAAGCAGCAGTGGGGCCAAGCTACACTACTGTTGCACATCCTGGGAGGGGGACCAGGGAACTCTCCTATTTCAATTGCACCTTGACTGTTGCTGTTTTGTAAGGCAATCATTGGAACAAGGAAATTTCCCAGGTAGGGTGGCCAGAGTCATGAATTGTGGGGAGGAATCTAGGAATCTTAACTTAAAAGATAAAACCTCAAGATGATTCTGTTCAACTGTCTTTGGGAATTACAAATGTAGTCTATTGTTATGTTTCAAGATTTAAAGAAATTGAGGTCTCAGAAAGTCAAAAGAGGTTTCTGAGTGTCACAAAGCATTTTATTGTTAAAGCTGAGAGTAAGAGCTCAGCTCTTCAATTTCCGTACAGTGGCACTTTTGTGTCTACATTTCTTCTGGAGTCATTTCCCCTGACAAATAAACCCTGTCCATTTTACTAACCAAGTTTCCCTTTACATAAGCATGCCTGGAAGTTAATTTGAGAAAACCATGGCAATCTGCCCCCTGGAAGCAATATTTTTGAAAACAGAGAAATTCAAAGGCTTGCTGAAAATCAGGCATCAAAGTCATTTAAGGGTGAGATGAATATTAAATTCTTTCAACCACTTTATATGAAAGAAATGGGCAAGATCTTCTTGTCACGGTATGAGATCAAAATCCCTTAGTCTCAACTAAAAAGTTCACTTTTTAAATCTAAAGGTGCTTATAATACACTGGAATATATTTTATTAAGTAACTCCTTGATTAATTCCAGAATGTAATAGCACCCTACTATTAAAAAAATCCACAACAGCAGGGTTCATTATTCTCACCTAACAGAAAAGGAAATTCAAGTGCAGAGATGGGTAGCACAATTAGTGACCGGACATCTGAGAGCAAAGTTTATCTTTGAGTCTTGATGTTTCTCATATCTTACATATTACCAAACATAAATCCTTTCTTCTTTGAAAAAGAAGTGATAAAACTCATATATGTTTATTCTTCAAAGATGAAAGAATATACATGCAAATGAATAAAAAATCCACTTTACATGGAAAGTATTTAACTAGAAAATGCAATACAATTTTTTATCTGTGCTAGGGCTGAGATAGAAAGCATTTAACTAGAAAGTCCAATAAAGTGTTTCATCTGGGCTAGGGCTGATACTCAAAATACCCAATTAAAACAGATGGATGAGACAAGCCTGACTTTCTCTGTGTCTTCTATATAATATCAAATAAGGCAAAACCAACCACACAAAACAAAACAAAAATCCAGAAACAAACAAAAGGAAAAAAACAGCCTTCTTAATTTTCATGTAGGAATAGGAAAACAAATGTTTCACTGTATTTTCTTATTCCCTTAGGTCCAGAAATCCCAAGGAAGAGAACTTGATTTCAGTCAAAATAGGACTGCAGACATAGTTACACAAACATCCGAAGAACCTGAGATCAGGAATAACTCATGGGAATGTGTTTCATAGAAAGGCAGTTGACTCTTTGACTCAAAAATTATCACAAAGAAGGAAGGAGCTCCACATAGTGGGGAAACTTGGAGCTAGGGTATAGTTTCTGTAGAAAACAATGCTTCTCAGTATTTTATTAATTGTGCCTGAATGTTCCTTCAACCTATCACTACACACCTACTGCATACCATCTACACACCTACTCCTGGAAAGGAGATAGTTGTATGGTACAAAATGAAAACAGTTTTTTCTAAAGTATATTCTTCTAAAAGAGGTGACTAGAGAAAGGAATCTCTATTGAAATGGGAGAGAAAGAAGCACAGAAGACCACGAGGGAAATCGATGATGATGTGCTGACTGCAGAAACCAAATCAGGAACATGCTCCACTCCCACGCAGACAGAAGGCCATGAACAGTGAAGTGCCTCACCCAGGAGCAGGGGACACCAATGAGGAAGCAAGCAGAGCAGCTGCAGAGTCAGAGTCAAGTGCAATCTTATATGATGCAGAACCTCACCACGCCTCCACCTTTGTAAAGAAATAAGAAGTGATGGCCACCTGGCAGATGGAGGTTACTGATGCAACAGGTCCAGTGTAGGGTTACTAGATGAAAGATAGAACATCCAGTTGAATTTAAATTGTTAATAAACAACATTTTTTCATATAAGTATGTTCCAGGTATTATTTGGAACAATATTACACTAAAAAAATTGCTGTTTATCTGAAATTCAGTTTTAAATGAGTGTCCTGCACTTTTCTTTTCTAATCTGGTAACTGTATCTCAGTTAACTGTATCTCAGGTAACTGTATCATACCAAGAGTCCTCCTGGGCTGAGGGCATATTATTAAATTAACTCTTCCAAGATAGTGATTGTAAGAATCTTTTGAAAACCAAGCAAATATGTACGAATTAATCATGAAAACTCTGTTTCATCAATTCAGACAATACTGGGCACAAATGGGGCTGCACTGTGAGCCTCTTTGTGTGGTTTAAGATGTTACATGCTATTGACATACTTCCAGCATTATAAAGAACAACTCTCCTTCACTTAGTAGCTTCCCAGACACATCACACTCAATTTGACTGGTACTTTGAGCATTCTCTCACCTGATGTCCTGATGCTCTTCTTTACCTGCTCTTAATATTACTAATGCTCATGGCCTATGATGTCTCTTCCAGGTTCTCCATCACTGCTATTGCTGCTGGTGCTTCTGTACTGGCAGCTCTCACAAAATGTTCACGATATCAGTCCTGATAATGAATCCCCTAGAGTCTTTGCACCAAAACACCATGACAATGCTGTGCCTTGCAGATGTATAGGAAAAATTGTCCCTTCCAATTCAGATTCACACATTGACATATGGCCATCAAAGCATTCCTGTGTGTGCCCTCCTGACTAACAGAGCAACTTTTTATCAAATACTTTGTTCTACTTTAATCCCTCAATCATGTCTCCAAAGTTGTCAGGCACAAGCTGTGGTGCAATCCTTTAAGTAGACTTTTACTCATCCAGACATACTCCTTTATAACTTTCCCATACATAAATAGTCCTTTCAGCTTTTTTTCATATTCATTCCCAGTTCTGTGTAAGGCCTCATGAATATAATCTCACCAAAATTGCCCCACTAATTTTGGGAACAGCTCATTTTAAAGCTGGGAACACTTTTATAAACAAAAATAAATTTCAGGCCATTTCTAACAACTTGCTATACTTTTGAATATTCAACAACAAAAGTTTAATATTCTTTAACATGCTGAATTTATATGAGCTCCAGCTGAAGCCACAGTCTTTCAAGGGTCACAGCTGCCTAATAGTAGTTTCTGAAATTGGAAGGTGTCCTGGTCACCTCAGACTTTATGTACAGGCACTGTTCATTCCAGGTCACTCATTCACTCACCAAATGTTTAATGAGGACCTTTTATATGAAAAGCACTACTAGAAAAGAAAGATATATGTAACAGAATAATGGGCTTGAAACTTAAATAAAGCTCTTATTCCCTCTTCACTTCATTTGCTCCTACCTTAGCCTATTGCTCAGCCATTATGCTTCCGTAGTCTCAGAAAAGAGATATAATAGCATAATTGCAGAGAAATTAGGGAAACTCTTCCTGTCTTTAAAGTCCCCAAATCTGTTTACCTTAGGAAAACTAGAGTAGACACAATTTGTTGAGGACGGTGAGAGGGTTAGATAGCATTCTCTACCTTCCCAGCTCTCATCCCCTAAAGATTTTCTATGTTACGGTGATTTTCTATGTTAAGGTGAACACACACACACACACACACACATACACAAAGGAAATAATATAAAATATAGTATGGATGTTAGAGGGTCCCAGTAGAGATGAACTGGCTAAAAAAACAAACTATTAACGAACCTTGTCCTAGAATCCTTCCCTTTGATGTGACTAGGCCAAAAAATTGAAAATGGGTAAACTCTTATTTTATAACTTCTTCAGTTATTGGCCTTGCATTTCATATCTGAATCCCTTTGCTCATAACATGATTTTATTTCCTTATAAAACATCTTGTGACAACAGACTGATAGTAGCCTATTTAGGGAAGAATGGTAAACATGGTGAAAATTTAGAAAATCTTAACACTTAACGAGAAGCTATAGGACAATATCCTGAATTAACATAGATGCAAAACTCCTCAGCAAAATACTAGCAAACCATATCTGGCAGCACATCAAAAAGTTAATTCACCACAATCAAGTAGGCTGTATTCCTGGGGTGCAAGCCTAGGTCAACATGTGCAAATCAATAATTATGATTCACTACATAAACAAAATTAAAAACAGAAACCTTATGATCATTTCAATAGATGCAGAAAGAGTTTTTGATAAAATGTAGTCTCCTTTCTCGATAAAAACCCTCAATGAACTAGGCATCAAAGGACATACCTCAAAATAATAACAGCCATCTCTGACAAAGCCACAACCAACCTCATACTAATGGGCAAAAGCTGGAAGCATTTTCCTTAAGAACAGGAACAAGACAAGGATGCCCACTATCACCACTCATTATTCAACATAATAATGGAAGTCTTAGCCAGTGCAGTCAGGCAAAATATAGGAATAAAATGAATTTAAATAGGAAAAGAAGAAGTCAAATTATTTATCTTTGCTGATGATGTGATTATATATCTAGCAAACCATAATGTCCCCACCAAAAGGCTCCAAGAACTGAAAAATGACGTCGGTTATGTTTTAGGATACAAAATCAATGTATAAAAAGCAGTAGGATTTCTATACACCAATAATATTCAAGCTCACAGCCAAATCAAGAATACAAACCCATTAACAATAGCCAAAAAAAAAAAAAACCACCTAGGAATCCATCTAATGAAGAAGACAAAAGATCTCTACAAGAAGAACTACAAAATACTGCTGAAAGAATGCATAGGTGACACATACAAATCGAAAAACATTCCATGCTCATGGATTGGAAGCATCGATATCATTGAAATCACCATTCTGCCCCCAAAGGAATCTGCATATTCAATTTTATTCTAATTAAACAACCAATGCCATTTTTCACAGATTTAAAAAAAAAACTGTTCTAAAATTCATATGAAACTGAAAAAGAGCCCGAAAAGCCAAAGCAACCCTAAACAAAAAGAACAAATCCAGAAGTATCACGCTATCTGATTTCAAACTACACTATAAGGTTACTATAAAAAAGATGGTAATAATATAAAAATAGACATACAGACCAATGGAAGAGAATAGAGAACCTAGAAATAAAGCCACAGGCCTAAAACCATCTAATCTTCAACAAAGTAGACAAAAATAAGCAATGAGGAAAGACTCCCTATTCAATAAATGGTGCTGGGATAGTTTTCTAACCATATGCAGAAGAACCAAACTGGAACCCTACATTTCACCATATATTAAAATTTTCTCAATATTGATTAAAGATTTAAATGTAAGACCTCAAACTATAAAACTACTAGAAGAAAACCAAGGAAACAATATTCCAGACATCAGCCTTTGCAGATAATTTATGGCTAAGTCTTCAAAAGTAATCACAATAAAACCAACAATTGACAAATGGGACTTAATTAAACTAAAGAGCTTCTACAAAACTAAAGAAACAATCAACAGAGTAAACACAAAACCTACAGCATGGGAGAAAATAATTGCAAAGCATACATCCAACAAAAGTCTAATATCCAGAATCTATAAGTAACAAGCATAAAACAACCTCATTAAAAACTTGGCAAAGAACATGAACAGACACTTCTCAAAAGAAGACATACATGCAGCCAAGAATTATATGAAAAAGTTCTCAACATTACTAATCATTAGAGAAATGCAAATCAAAACCATAATGAGATACCATCTCACGCCAGTCAGAATGGCTATTACTAAAATGTCAAAAAATAACATGATGAGGAGGCTGTGGAGAAAAGGGAGCACTTATACAAGGTTGCTGGGAATGTAAATTAGTTCAGCCTCTGTGAAAAGTATTTTGGAGATTTCTCAAAGAACTTAAAAGGGTACCACCATTCAACCCAGCAATTCTTTTACTGGTTATATATCCAAAGGAAAATAAATTATTCCACCAAAGAAAGACATGCCCTAGTATGCTCATTGAAGCACTATTCACAAACACAAAGACATGGAATCAAGTTAGGTGCCCATTAATGGTGGATTGGGTAAAGAAAATTAGGTGTATGTATACCATGGAATACTATGCAGCCATAAAAAAAATCATGTTCTTTGCAGCAACATGGATGCAGCTGGAGACCATTATCCCAGGAAAATTAGCACAGGAACAGAAAAACAAACACCATGTGTTCTCACTCATAAGTGGGAGCCAAACGTTGGCATGTAGACAAGAACAATAAATACTGGAGACTACTGGGAGAAGTAGGGTAGCGGGCTGGAAAACTAACTACTAGATTCTATGCTCATTACCTGGCCAAACCTCAGCATCACCCAATATACCCATGTAACAAACCTGAATCTAAAATAAAAGTTGAAATTTTTAAAAAGGATTTTAAAAAGTTTATTTGTTCTCCCTTTTTATTCTCTCAGTTTCAGGAGAATAAAAGGGGACCACAAGAAACGTACTGAGCTGAACAATCTTAAATCCCAAATTTTATTATTTTTATTGCAAAATATCAAGCTTCATTGTGATCATCAAATATGTGAGCAACTAAAATTCAAATTATGGATATGACAAATGGCTAATCAAGTATGGATGGTAACTATGAATTAAGCATATGCATATTTTCTATTATTTAATCTCTCATTATTATATTCCTAAATAAGAGTTGCACAAGTTAATTTCTATTATTTGTCATCCCCCAAACTCTTCTCCTTGTCTAGAAAAGCTGTCTAGAAGTCCAGTGATTTCCATACTTCCAAGAAAATTTTCTTTATACTTTTAGTATCATTAGAAAGCACCAAAAGTAGTCTGGGTGCGGTGGCTCACACCTGTAATCCCAGCACTTTGGGAGGCCAAGGCGGGTGGATCACCTGAGGTCAGGAGGTCAAGACCAGCCTGGCCAACATGGTAAAACCCCGTCTCTACTAACAATACAAAAATTAGCTGGGTGTGGTGGTGCGCGCCTGTATTCCCAGATACTCAGGAGACTGAGGCAGGAGAATCACTTGAACCCAGGAGAGGTTGCAGTGAGCTGAGATTACGCCACTGCACTCTAGCCTGGGTGACAGAGTGAGACTCCATCTCAAAAAAAAAAAAAAAGGAAACTACCAAAAGTTTCTCTATCAGATATTATTTATCTGAAACTATTCAAGTAATAAATGAATGAAATATCACTGTTGGAAGAGGTTTTCAAATACATCTTCTCAATGAATGCTAAAATAACACAATTATTAATCCTCATCTGAACCTAGGATCCATCTTCTAAACCCTCTCCTTATAAAATGAGGGAAGGAACACTGAAGACATGGCCCTGGGGATAAAAGCAGCTTTGGCAAGAAAGGATTGTGGAGAGAAATAAGAGAAGGAATAAAGGGCACAATTACCACAGACAAATACAATGATCTCACCTTAGGAATGTCACTCCTGACATTTGGGTGGCTGATGTGTCTGACATACCCAAGTGAAGATTTAATCCCATTACTTGCCTCTTTAAAATCCTTCAAACTTTCTTAGATAATGTCAAATGGATAAGAGATAAATTAAAAATTTTTTGGTAATTTTTTCACTCTAATTTATAAAAATTTCTTGGGATTTTCTCTGTTTTTTTTAATTTAAACACCTACCTGTTTATATTTTAATATTTGTTTCCTACTAATTGGTTACATGTATTCTGCATTTGTGCCATGTCTAGGCAGTTCTCAAATTTTCCATACACTCAAGGTCAGCTGGAAGTAAAGTCATCTCATACAGGATAAGGAATTGCTAGTGAATGAGGTAGAGTTAAAGGAGGAAGGCAATTATTTCCTTACCACTTATCTTCAAGAGCCAATGCTGGCAGATTGTATCTATCAGTCAAGTCTCTAGACCATCTGCAATAAAATCTATTCCACTAGACAGCAATGCAGTAGCTCTAGAAATAATTTTTTAAATTAGTTCTGATCTGTAAAAGATCAAACAGTGAGTAAAATCAATGTCTAGATGTTTAATTAATGATGTGATTAAAACATTCTGTAAGAATCCATGTAGACATCCTAATAGGAATTTAACAAGTAAGAGAAGCTTACTGAGGAGGAAGTTCATGGAGGACAAAGGATTAAAGATTGCATCCTGCCAGAAGACTGGAATACCTTAAAAACACATTATTAAAAATATTGTTAATGATAACTACTTCACATATCAGCATTAAAATTATGCTTCCTCAGTTCTATAAAATATTTGGTAGATAAAATTCACGGATATGAATTCAATAATGAACATAAAAATGCATTTCAAGATGCATGAAGTTATAAAATAGATACAGAAGGAAGT
This sequence comes from Homo sapiens, assembly GCF_000001405.40. Classification (NCBI taxonomy): domain Eukaryota; kingdom Metazoa; phylum Chordata; class Mammalia; order Primates; family Hominidae; genus Homo; species Homo sapiens. The sequence goes on along the minus strand of NC_000007.14, from coordinate 145,878,451 downwards.
CAGTGTAATTTCATTCGGACATATTCAGCTTAGAATCTTGAGAATCTTGAAAGAAAAGTTATGTGGAAAAAAGAGGAAATAATTTTTTCTTTTGTTTACTTTTAGTTGTTTTCTTTTTAATAGATTATGCTTAAAGATTCTGATTGTGTTTTACAGAAGATGTTATACGATTATATACAAACCATTGACAACAACCACTGTGTGATCCTTATCTGAATATATGTCCAGAAATAACAATGGAAATAATCTAGAAATATTTAAGAAGTCTACAGAAATAGGAGAAAAATATGTCATTAGGTAATTTTCATACTCTCTGACAAAAGTTTCATTTTACATGAAAGGAAAATGGAAGAATAAGATTATACAGAACAATTTTCAAGCACACTCGTGAATGTAGAAGCTATTTATAATAATTATTTTGTAAATACAAAAAAATGGTTTCAACTCATTTTCTAGGAGAATATCTTTTCCATTGGGTACCAGGCTAGCTCTCCAATGGTCAATAATCAGAAAATTAAACAAACTAATGTGTGTGTGTATATTTGTGTTTGAGTTGCACATAGTAGCCTCCTTCCACAGAGTACAGTATAGACAGCGAGGAAAAAGAGTAATTTTACACTGGAGGTACCTGACAAACACTACCTTAGCGTGGCAATCAAGGTCAACATCAATAGCCATTAATCATGTATATAGCATTTACTTTGTTATAATATGAAAAAAATTGACCTTACTTCTATGGTCTTCCAACCAAAAAACAAACATAAATCCAATATAAACATGACAAAATATCAGACAAATAATAATTGAGGGACATTCTACAAAGTATTCAAATAGTATCACTCAGAACTGTCAAGGTCATCAAAAACAGGGAGATCTAAGAAACTGTCACAACCAAGAGCAGATATAATGACTAAATGCAATGCAAGAACTTTGGTGAGATCCTAGAATGAAAACAACAACAAACAACATTAGGTAAAAACTGAGAATATCTTAATCAAATATGGAATTTAGTTAATACTTGAGTATTAATATTTGTTTGTTAATTGTGACAAATCTGTCAAACTAATGTAAGATGTTCACATTATGGGGAACTGGGTGCAGGGCATATGAGACTCTTTGGTATTATGTTTGTAAATTTTCTATAAATGTAAAAGTGTTCTAAGAATTAAGTGAAAAAATGAATTTTAGATTTTATACTCTATATGATAGAATATTATTCAGTCTTAAAAAAGAAGTAGAAATTGTCATTTGCAACAACATGAATAAACGTGGAGGATGTCATGCTAAGTGACATAAGCCAGACACAGGAAAAAAAAATCATGATCTCACTTACATGTGGAATCCTGAAAAAAAAAAGTCAAATACAAAAACACAGAGAGTAGAATGGTGTTTATCAGAGGTGGGGAATGAGAGGAAATGGAAAGATTAGATAAAAGAGCACTAACTTTAAATTACGTAGTCTAGAGATCTAATGTACAGCAAGAATACTACAGTTAATAATATCGCATTGTATAGTAAAAAATATGCCAAGGATGTAGACTTTAGGTGCTCTTACAACAACAACAAAAAGGTAATGATGGAAAGTAACAAATATGTTGAATTTCTTACCTGCAGTAATAATTTGTGTATATGTAGATACACAAATTATTGACATATATATGACATATATGTCAAATCACATAAAATTTATACAATAAAGTGTTTACAATAGAAATTTTAAAAATAAGAATAAAATTTTAAAACTGAAGTAGATGGACTTTACTCAGTTGGAGGAATGTCAATGTTTTGGATGACAGATCAATGTAAGTTATCAAATCTGAAGAGTAGAGGGGAAAATGATTTAAGAAAAATATATTACACAATATAATTTGAAGAGTTTGCAAAAAGAAAAAATGAGATTGGCACACATTTTTAAAGAAAATATTAGACAAAAGTTTATTTGCTAAACATTTGAGTGTTATAGGATAGCGAATATCAGTGCATAAGTCTTTTCTATCAGAGAAGATTTGTGAATTTATACAGTAGGGTAGGGAATATTGTGGTACACATAATGCTAGGTATCTTAACATTGAATTAATCATGGGGCCTCGAGTGTCAGAGTATAAATGAATCTTCCTGTGTAATTTAAAGCTGTTATTAGTTACATGCCAATAGGAGCAAAATGACTAAAAAACATTTTAAAAGTATATGTGGAGAAAGAGTGTTAGTTTATTGGACTCATAATAAAATAGTGAAGGATTATCAAGGGAGGTGAAGAGTGTCTATTTCACAATTTTATGTCAAAGCCACTTTGCTGAAAACTACAAATCAATGCTTTTGTGCTGCATTGTGATGGTCTCCACAAAAGTGATCCAAGCTTGATTTTTTTTTCTTGGTCATATACAGACATTTCATAAAAATGATTTAATTTTTTTGTCATCCTCTTTTTTTATTATACCCATCTATTTACCATATATATTTGCCAAACACATTTAAGAACTCAGTGGTTCCAGATAAGACCAGCTTGATGTTTATATTTCCCAGGATTCAAAGAATGCTTATAACATCCTTAAGCGCTTACTGAGTCAGAAATACCATATTACAGGTATGAACTGCTCATTACTTTTACAGATTTAGGAGGAAGGGCAAGCAATATTCAGAAACCTTCTCAATGGCATATTATTCTCCTCTGTCCAAATGTACAACCTAGGGTTGAAGAATTGAGTTTAGTATGGTTTTCTGCTGCTATAAAACCAGAAGTTGGAGAAGACTCTGTACAAATCTAGGCATTTTAACAAATTGTTAATTTTCTATAAGGTCTCCACCATTTAGTTTTCCAACCAATGGAGTAACTTTAACTTCTGTCAATCACTCTGAAATCCAATCCATTAACATTATCAAAGAAAGAAAATAGTCTCTCCTGTTCATAATCTTATTTAATGCTGTTTCATCCAGAAAGGATTCAATCATTCTGGGAATCAGTATGCAATTCAATCTTTTTTTTTTCCATTTACAAGGAACAAATTCAATTTCCCACATCTCTGTTTTAAAGGAAATTTAATTGTCAATGAAGATGACAAGCTAGTAGTTTGACACTTTAATGTGGTCTCCAGTGTACTAAAGATGATGAATCAATATTAATTTCCATTGAACTGAACAAAATGTGAATATTTCATCAGGGATCAAATTTATTTTCAATTTCAATGGCAACATATGAAGATATGGTTCCAATTTTAGGCATCTCATATTTAGCAAAGTTAACAAAATTAATAAAATTATACATTTCCTATCACTAGGCTAGGAATTCTATATGATGTACTTTATTAGAAAATCTTATTATTATGAATTAAGCTGGTACATAGTAAAATACATGCTTTTTTACCCTACATAATTGCCTAAATTTAACTGAAGATTTCAATATCTTTGCTTCAAAGCAAAGAGGCAATGTTTAGAATTAAAGTCATTGTAGTAATCTTACTCTTATTTTAATAAAATCTAAGATTCATTAATACAATAATATTTTGCTCCATCATTATAAAGTGCAAATAAATGTTTTAGCTTTATCTTTGGCATTAGAATGAAATACAGATTGTAGAAGTTCTTTTTATTTGCAGGGGATACCTCCCAAGGAGGCCAGTGGGTGCCTGAAACTGCAGATAGTACCAAACCCAATTGCTGTCATTTGAAATATGTTTCTGTTCATGTCTCCCACCCACAAATTTAATGACTTTTCCATCTTACCTAATTACTTACCATGCACCGTGGCTGTAACATTTTAAGTTTCAGGTGTGACAGCAAAACTAGCACATTTTTTCTCCTTCTTCACAATTTCACTGATAGAAGATTTATTATCTCTTTGGGTCTCAGCAACCTCAGCATATGATTTTTTTTCCTTCCCTCATTAAGTTGGGAACTTTCGCCTTTCACTTATAGGAAGCATTTTATGGCTTTTCTTTGGCATATCCAAATTGCTAGCATCACTACTTTTGCATTTTGTGGCCATTATTAAGTAAAACACGGGCTGCTTGAACACAAGCACTGTGATATTGTGACAATCTTTCTGATACCCAAGACAGCTACTAAGTGACCAACAGGCAGGTAGTGTATATTGCATGGATACACCAGACAAAGGGATAATTCAAGTCCCAAATATGACGGAGAGGGAGGGTGTCAGATTTTATTACGCTACTCATCCTGCAATTTTAAAGTTATTGTTTATTTCTGGAAGTTTCCATTGAATATTTCTGGACGTAGGCTGACTGCAGGTAACTGAAACTGCAAAAAGTGAAAACTGCATATCAGGGAGGATTACTGTATAGTATCCATTCTGTTCCTGACCAGCTAAATTACCCTGGTCAAGTTACATAGTATCTCTGAACCCCAGTATTCTTCATGTGGAAAATGGAAGGGTTGTCTTAAACAATTTATTCAATGTTACATGAAAAATATACATGTGTATCTAAGTGTTTGTATGTGCATGTGATTATATGCATAAATCACAATGCTAAATTGTGATATAAATATTGTTGTAGTACTTTAAATTTTTTAAATAATTTCTATTTTGAATTATCTTTTTGACAATTTATGAATATAACATTTACATCATTTTTGAATGCCCTAACCGTAATTGTGACAGCTTTAGAATGATGGTATTTAAAGGATATAGTTTCCCTTTACTATATTCAAATAATATCTTATTTTAATTTAAGTTAGAACTTTATAGTTCACAGTGCATCTTTATACTGTCAGGCTAAATAACAGAGCAAGCTCTCTAAAATTAAAAATATATATATTTGGGAACAGAACATTGCAATAGGAATAGGCATGCAATAATAAACTATATGCATATTAAGGGAGGTGAAGAAACACAAAGTTTTAAAGGAAAAATGAGTTTTACCTAATTATTTTGAAATGATTATCCTTGTCTGAAAAGATTAATACAAGAATGACACCAATCTGAGGTTGGACAGGCAGTTGCTAAGATATCTTCAGAATATTTTTATGTGTAAGATTGTGACGGCTTTTGTGCAAGGTGGTGGTTTTTGCCATCTTTTGTGATTTTTTTTTTTCAGCCATACTAGCATGAAAACTCTCTTCATGGTCCTCTGGCTCTATTTGTTGGGTTTTGGGATTTCTTTGTTTGATTATCATTAGTTTAGCTAAGATTTGTTTTGTTTTAACATTGTTTTAATTCCATTTTGATTCTGACAACCTTCACAATACATCATAATTCTTAACGCCTCCAATAGCTCATAAATATTAACACACTTGGGTGAAATATATTCATCTTGCATATTTAAAAGAACTGGAAGTTTAGAGGATACACCAATTTGGTTATAGTTATAGCAGATTAAGTGAAGAATTTGAGAATAGATACCAGGTTGAAAAGCTATGGTATCTTCTTTTGTAAAAATAAGTAGGCAAGTATGTTGTGGTAGAGATCACTAATTATGAACCTCTATCAATTATCTCCTTTCTGTCAGTAGTAGATCCTTGGGCATATCGACACCCCCCCAGTGAGAGACGGTACTTCTCAGCCCCTTTCCGAGTATAAGACACTCCTACCACTAAGACCCGGGCAATGAAATGTGATCAGAATTGATATTAGCAACTTCTAAGTCAAGCTGCTAATAGAAATGTGGGTGTACTAGGCCTTTCTTTTTCACTTTTCTGCCAGGTGATAATTGGTCACTATACAATGTATTGTCAGGGCTTTTTCCTGGAAATTACAATTCAGGATATTCATGTGTGGGGTTCTGTAGAGGGTTGAATGGTGGCTGCCAGAAAAGATTTGCCCACAGCCTAAATCCGAAAACCTGTGAATGTGATTGTATTTGGAAAACAATCTTTGCAGATGTAAGTTAAGGATTTTGAGATGAGATCAACCTAGATTATCTGAGTGGGTCTTAAGTCTAATGACAAAGATCCTTATAATAAACACAAAGAGGAGAGACACACAGGTGAAAAGTTCATGTGAAGTTGGGGGCAGAGTTTTGCAGGCATGCTCTGGGGGACTGAAGAAAATGGAGGCAAAGCTTGGGGTTCTGCAGCCACAAGCTAAGGAATGCCTGGAGCCACCAGAAGCTGGAAGAACAACAACAACAACAATAAAGAAAAAACAAAAACACAACAAAAAACAAACAGACAAAAAAAAACAGGTCTTTAGAAAGAGAGAGAGTGTACCTGCAGAAACCTTGATTGTGGACTTCTGACATTCAGAACTTTAAGAGAACACATTTACATTGTTTTAAGCCACCAAGTTTACAGAAATTTTTTATTGCGGCCCTGGGAAAGTAATACCTGTCCTATCATCAGTTTAAAAATATACTCACAGGTGCATAGACATAGTTTAAAACATCCGTGGTATAAGCAGGAGTAAATTTAGATGGTATAAATAGGAGTAAATACTCTTAAAACATCTTATACTCTATAATGAGAGATTGAAGGAAAGAAGTTAGAGAAACTATTTATTTTGACATTAAAAAAAGTCAGTGACAAAAATGTTTATATATTCTATAAAAAAGAAAATGTTGAGCTTTTTATATTTTTATAATCCTTTCAAGCCAAAATACCTTCTTATTTTACATGAAACTGAAAGCGACCTTTTACAAGGGATAGCCCTTTATAAGTAGTTCTTATATTGCACTAAGCACATTTCAGCTAAGTTTCATTGTTTACTCTCTTATTTTTGCAAATCACACATATATACAAAAATATTTGAAACAGTTGTTCCAAAATGAAAAGAATCATGAAAAATATAATATTAGAAGGTAGGTTTGGAGGTAATTATTATATCAAAAATTTTATAACTTAACTCTTAACAGAAATTATATTTTACGTCTGTGCATAAGGGAAATGGAACCACATAATGAATAACATATATGAACAGCTATAAAATGTAAAAGCAGGGAACTTTTAATTTTGGCCACAAATAAATGACTGATACAGGATATACTCTCTTAACACGTTATTAATAATAGTCCCAAACCTCAAACAACTCAAATATCCTACAGCAGGAGAATTGTTAAACAAATTGTGTTATACTCATTCAATGGACTGTTGCTTAGAATTCCAAACAAAACATAAATTAATCTCATGAAATATCATAATGAACAAAGAGGTACACTCAAAAGAATACAAACTTTATTAATCCATTCACATAAAAAATAACTACAGACAAAATGACTAATAACAATGTTGTCTAAAGGTGTAAGGATTCACTGAACGTTTCTGGAGATAATGTAAAAGTTTCATATCTTGTGGATTTTTTTTTTCTTTTTTGAGACAGAGTTTTGCTCTTGTCACCCAGGCTGGAGTGCAGTGGCGCAATCTTGGCTCACTGTAACCTCTGCCTCCTGGGTTCAAGCAATTCTCCTTCCTCAGCCTCCCGAGTAGCTGGGATTATAGGCACCCGCCACCATGACCAGCTAATTTTTTATTTTTGGTAGAGATGGGGTTTCATAGTGTTGGCCAGGCTGGTCTCGAACTCCTCACCTCATGATCTGCTCACCTCAGCCTCCCAAAGTATTGGGATTACGAGTGTGAGCCACTGTGCTCAGCCAAAAGTTTCATATTTTTACTAGATTGTTGATTACATTGTTATAGGCTTTGGCCAAACTCATAAACTGTGTATTTAAACTTAATGTACTCTCATTTTTTTTAAAGTATGGTAAAAATATGTATTTTGGCTATTTATTCTATGTGCTTATGACAAAAGCCAAGAACATATTTCTAAATGTTGAAAACTTTTCCAAGGGACAGTTAAAGTTCAGAATGAAAGTATGCAGCATTGTTGTGGCCTTATGTGATGCAAAGTCTTAGCTTTGAGATTCTAAAAGAGTTGAAGTATAGTGTATCGTACTCTTAACTCAGCACAGCTTTTGATGAACATGAAACAGAAGATGGCTCAACAGTGAGATTTTGGTGCCAAGTATGCATAGCTATTATTATTAATGATATTATTTTGAGACGGGATCACACTCTGTTGCCCAGGCTGGAGTGCAGTGGTAGGATCACAGCTCACTGAAGCCTTGACCTCCCAGGCTTAAGCTATCCTTCCTCCTGAATAGCTGAGATGACAGATGCATGCCACCATGCCCAGCTAATTTTTATTTTTTGCAGAGACAGTGTCTCACTATGTTGCCCAGGCTGGGCTCAAACCACACTTTCATCTTGGTCTTCCAAAGTGCTGAGATTATAGGCATGAGCCACTGTGCCTAGGCATAAGGATATTATCAAAAACCAGATATGCAGATAACAAGTTGACTTTTAGTTTAAAAATATGAAGCAACAGATTTGTATCATTGCCCAAATAGCCTTTCAATTCTGCATACAGTGGACTGTAGGTAGTGCTAAAACTTTCTCCAGGAAGCAGTCTTGAACTTACTCTGTGCCAAAATCTTTTGCCTTGTATTTTGGTTATTTTTAATCTTAGGTTATGCCCTTTCTAGAGACACAAGGAGGAAAACAACGCCTTTGACTGCTCCCTGGGTCAAGGTTTAAAGTTCTCCCATGTTTACAGCTGTAAAACACTGAAAAAAATTAACCATTTTGAGCCTCACCTAACTAGTTTGTAAAATAAAAATAAATATACACTAAGTACTCTATAATTAGGCAGTTGTGAGCTTTCAGTATTGAGGTCATGTGGGCAAAGCATTAGAAATTAGAAAGAGTTGTCACTTTTTGAAAGCAAAGTATATGAATTTTGATATCTGTGTCTCAGCTTTGTCTAATATTAATATAGTGTAAGTCTCTTATACAATTTTAAATTGTCTAGTAGACACGTGGAAAAGTTTTTAAAAAGTGAAATACATATAACATATTTTCTGTAACCCAATATATACAAAAAATTACTTTGACATGTGACCTATATACATATTATTTATGAGTTGTTTTACATTTTTCATACTGAAGTCTTTGCAATCAGCTGTGTATATCACAATAACAACACATCTCAATCTGGCTTTTCATATTTCAAGTGTTCAGTAGTTGCATGAGACTAATGGCTACTGTATTGGACAGTACAGGTATGTATAGTTTAACACAAAGCAGTCATTTAAGAAATGTTCTAGGCCCCAAGGACAAACTCCCCTTCTTGCAGCAACTTGCCAGGGTGTGCTGCCACAGCCCTGGTTGAAGTGCAAACAAAGTGCATGCCTCCCCAGCTACCTGCACACAGCAGCTGCCACTGAAAGCAACCCCTGCCTTCCCAGTAGCAGAGCTGCTCTCAGGCTGCTGCTGACCCTGCATAAGCATTCCACTATGGGCCTGGTGATCACCTCTCCTTTGGCCACTACAGCCAACTCCTAAATGCACCACCATGGAGCCTAAGGACAGGTCGGCCCAGCCCAGTTCCATCCTCCTAGTGCCCAACCATGCTGTCTAGGAGGCTAGGGACTGCCTAGCTTAGTCCACCAACATCGGCACCAGTGCACTCCTCCTGGGAGCTTGGTGTTAGGCTTACCCAACCTGCCTCTACCATCACAGTGGAAACCCACCTGCATGGCCTGGGGACTGTCCCACCCAGCCTGTTACAGCCACACCCAACACCACTACAGACTTTTGAAACCAAGAGGTTAGTCATGCTGGTGCTATTGCCATTGCACACACCATACCGTCTGCCCAAAAGCCCAATGACCCTTGCAGCAACCCATCCCACTGTTGCCACTTCTGACACCTGAGCAAGCCACCTGGGAGCATAATAATTGGCCCACCTGGACACACTAAAACGAGTGTTAGTGTATAACCTGAAACCAAAGGACAGGCATGCTTTGCCTGCCGCTATCACCACTGAGTCCCCAAAGCCAGCCCACTGGGCATCCTCATCCCTAGCAAACTTCACTACAGGTTCTATTAACAACTTACCCTAAGCAACTGAGAAAATCATAGACACCATTGACACTGTTTATGATGAAGAAATCGAATGAAGTCTGCACTACTGCACACATGCAGAATCAAAGCCAAAGTGGCGTACCCAACCAACATCATAAATACACCTTCAGGAAAAAGTTGTTCCTTATGAAAAAAAATCAAAAAATTGAAAGAAGTGACTATTATGCCAGAAGCACTGATACCAAAATAAGGACATGAAAAACACAAAACAGCAAAGAAATATGACATCTCCAAAGGGACACAGTAATTATTCAGCAACAGATTTCAATCAAAAATAGACTTATAAAGTTCTGGATTACTAATTTACAATATTGATATTGAAAAAGCCCAGTGAGGTATAAGAGAATACAGAAAAAAACAATACAAAGATATCAGAAAACAATTCAGGGCATAAATAAGAAATGTACCTAAGATATCTATATCCTAAACAAGAAACAAATAGAAATTCTGTAACTAAAGCCTTCATTTAATAAAATGCATTCAAGAGCTTCGAAAATAGACTAGATTAAGCAGAAGAAAAAATTTCAGGACTTGAAAACAAGTCTTTTGAAATAATCAAATCAGACAGAAGAAAAGACTAAATAATAAAAAAAAATAAAGAAATCCTACATGACATATGGGACACCATAAAGTGACCAAATACTTGAATTTTTGATGTTCCAGAAGATGAAAGGAAAATTAAGGGATTAAAAAACTGACAAAATAATTGTTGAAAAATCTCCCAAGTCTAGTAAGAGATTTAGACATCCAGATACAGGAACCTAAGAGATAAACAAAATGGATACAGTGCAGAAAGGTCTTCTACATGGGACATTATTGTCAAACTGCCGGAGTCAAAGACAAAGAGAATTATAAAAAGAGCAACAAAAAGTAAAGTATCTAGTCAAATATAAATGAATTCTCTGCAAATTAACAGTGAATTTCTCAGTAGAAACCTTGCAGGCCAGATGAGATGATATATTCCAAATATTAAAAGCAAAAATAACTGCTAACCAAGAATACTATATCCAGTGAAGTTATTCATCAAAAATGAAGGGGAAATAAAGTATTTGCCAGAGAAGTGAAAACTGAAGGAATTCATCACCACTAAACTGGGCCTACAAGAAATGCTGTAGTACTATACCTGGCAGACAAAGGACCATATTTACCATCATAACAATGCAAGAAAATATAAAACCCACTAGTAGAGGTAACACACAAATAAAGAAGAACTCGAATGTTACCACAAATCCACAATACCACAAGGAGTCAAGTGTTACTGCAAATCCACAAAACCACAACGATAAATAAGAGAGAAAGAAACAAAAGACATACAAAATAACCAGAAATCAATCAACACAATGATTTAAATGAATGAACTTTAAATCATGACCCAACTACATGCCTACAAGAAACTCATCTCCTTTATTAAAATAGATATAGACTAAAAAGAAAGAGATGGAAAATACATTTCATGCAAATGGAAAAAAAGTGAGAAGTGGTACTTATATAAGATAAAATAGGCTTTAAGTCAAAAACTGTAAAAAGTGGTAAAAACGTCATTATAAAATGAAAAAGGAATCAATTCAGCAAGATAATACAACAATTATAAACACATATGCATCCAACATTGAAGCATCCAGATATATAAAGCAAATATTAGACCTAAAGGGAAAGAGACTTCAGTACTATAATAGTTGGGTACTTCAACATCCCACTTACAGTATGAGACAGATTATCTAGACAGAGAAGTAGCAAAGAAACACTGTTTTTGAACTGTACATTAGACCAAATGAACCAAACAGAGATTTACAGAACATTCTGTCCAACAGCTACAGAATATACATTCTTCTCATCAGCACATAAAACATTCTCCAGGATAGACCATATGTTGAGTCACAAAAAAAGTCTCATCAAATAAGAAAAATTGAAACCATATCTCATGAAAATTATCTCATCAGACTATAAAACTAGAAATCAATAATAAAAAGAACTTTGGAAACTATAAAAATGCATGGAAATTAAACTACATGCTTCTGAACAACTATTGGGTCAATGAAGACAATAAGATAAAAATTAAAACAATTCTTTGAAACCAATAAATATAGACAAACGCACATTACAACACGTGGGATACAACAAAAGCAGTGCTAAGAGGAAAGTTTATAACAATAAATGCCTACATCAAAATATTAGAGAAATTTTAAGTAAACAGTCTAACAATATACCTCAAGGAACAAGAAAAGCAAGAAAAAAATCAAAAATTCTCAGAAGAAAAGAAATAATAAAAATTGGGCCAGAACTAAAGGAAATAGAGACTAAAGAAAAAAATATAAAGGATCAATGAAACGAAAAGTCAATTCTACAGAGAGATAAACAGAATGAATATGCTGCCAGCTTGGCTAACCAAGCAAGGAAGAGAGAAGACCCAAATAAACAAAATTATTAATGAAAAAGAAAATATTACAAGTGATACCACAGACTTACAAAAGATAAACAGAGACTCCTATTAACAACTAGATGTTTACAAGCTTAACAGAAACTAGAGGATATGGATAAATTCCTGGACATGTGTAACCTATCAAAGTTGAATCAGGAAGAAATAGAAAGTCAGAAGAGATCAAAAATGAGTAATGAGATTGAAGCAGTAACCATTTCCAAACAAAGAAAAGTCCAGAAGAGAAAGGCTTCAATGCCAAAGTGTATCAGACTTTCAAAAATGAACAAACACCAATTCTTCTCAAACTATTCAAGAAACTCGAAGAGGAGGGAATTTTCCCTAATTCATTCTATGAGGTCAGCATTTCTCTGATGCCAAAACCAGACAAGGATGCAACAACAATAATAACAACATAATACAGACCAATATCCTTGATGGACATTGATGCAAATAACTTCAACAAAATACTGGCAAATCGAATCCGACTTCACATCAAAAAGATAATACACCATATCAAGTGGGATTTAACCCAGGGATGTAAGGATGATTCCACATAAGCAAATCAATAAACATGATACATCACATCAACAGAATGAAGGACAAACCCTTATTCTCATCTCAATAGTTGCAATAAAGTACTTGATACAATTCCACAGTGCTATATGATAAAATGTCTCAACAAACTAGGTATTAAAGAAACATACCTCAACATAATAAAGGACATACGTGACAAACCTTCATCACCCTTTCCCCCCAAAAATGGACTAAGACAAGGATGCCGGCTGCCACCACTTTTATTCAACACTGTATTTAGAAGTCCCAGCCAGAGCAAGGAGTTAAAAGAAAAAAAGAAATAGCATCCAAACTGGTATAAAGGAAAGCAAAATATCCCTCTTTGCAGGAGACATGATTTTAAATCTAGAAAAATGAAAAGACTTCATCAAAAATGTTTAGGTCCAATAAATACATTCAGATACAGAATATCCATTAAACATATGGAATATAAAATCAACATGCAAAAAGCAGTAGCTTTTTTAAACACCCATAATGAATGAGCTGATAAAAAGTCAAAAAACCAATACCATTTATAAGAACTACAAAAAAGATACCTAGAAATGGATTAGACAAAAGAGATAAAAGACCTCTCTACAGGGAAAACTACAAAACAATGATGAGAGAAATCGAAGGGGACATAAGCAAATGGAAAGATGTCCCATGCACATGGATCAGAAGAATTAATGTTAGAATGATGATAGTGGTTAAAGCAATTAAAAGATTCACTGCAAACCCTATCAAAATAACAATACCATTTTTCATTGATATAGAAAAAATAGCCTGAAATATATATGGAACTAACAAGGATCTTAGCTAAAACAACCCTGAGCAAGAAAAGGCAAAGTTGGTTGCATCAAAATATATTCTAAGGCCATGGTAATGAAAATAGCATGGTTTTGCTTTAGAAACAGACACATAGACCAGTGGATCACAATAGAGAACACAGAAATAAATTCATGTATTTACAGCCAACTGATTTTGACAAAGGCACTAGCAACATACATTGGGAAAGGACAGTCTCCTCAATAATGGTGCTAAAAATTTGATATCCACTTGCAGAAGAATGAAACTGGAACCCTAGCTCTTATCATGTTATAAAATCTCAAGATAAGCTGGGCACGGTGGCTCACGCCTGTAATCCCAGCACTTTGGGAGGCCAAGGTGGGCAGATCATGAGGTCAGGAGTTCAAGACCAGCCTGAACAACATGGTGAAACCCTGTCTCTGCTAAAAATACAAAAAAATTAGCCGGACATGGTGGTGCCTGCCTGTAGTCCCAGCTACTAGGGAGGCTGAAGCAGAAAAATCTCTTAAACCCAGGAGGCGGAGGTTGCAGTGAGCCGAGATTGCACCACTGCACTCCAACCTCGACAATAAATCAAGACTCCGTAAATAAAAAAAAAAAAATTAAGATATATAAAATACTTAACTTCAGACTTAAAAATATAAAACAACTAGAAGAAAACACGAAAGAAACACTTCATGACATTGGGGTAGGCAAGGATTTTTAGTTAAGACCTCAAAAGCACATGCTACAAAAACAAAAAGTGACAAATGGGACTATGTTAAACTAAAACAAATTCTGCACAGCAAAGGAAACCATAAACAGTGGGAGTAGACAACCTGTTGAATGAAATAAATATTTGCAAAGTATTCAACCAACAAGGGTCTAGTATCCAGAATATACAAAAAACTTAAACAACTCAAGAGTAAACAAATAAAAAAGTGGGCAAAAGACATGAATAGACATTTCTTAAAACATAAAAATGGTCAATAGACCATTTGGTAGTTCTCCTGGATAATATCCTGAAGTGTGTTTTCCAGCTTGTTTCCATTCTCCCTGTCTCCTTCAGTTACTCCAGTCAATTGTAGGTTTGGTCTTTTTATGAAGTCCCATATTTCTTGGAGGGTTTGTTCGTACCTTTTTATTATTTTTTATCTAGTCTTGTCTGCATGCCTTATTTCAGCAAGCTGGTGTTCAGACTCTGATAGCCCTTCTTCCACTTGGTTGATTCAGCTATTGATATTTGTGTATGCTTCACAGAGTTCTCACACTGTGTTTTTCAGCTCCATCAGGTCATTTATGTTCCTCTCTAAACTGATTATTCTAGTTGGCACCTCCTGCAACCTCTTATCAAGGTTCTTAGCTTCTTTGCATTTGGTTAGAATATTCTCTTTTAGCTCAGTGTAGTTTTTATTACCCGTCTTCTGAAACCTACTTCCATCAATTCATCTGCCTCATCCTCCATCCAGTTCTGTGCCCTTGCTGGAGAGACGCTGGAGAAGAGGCACTCCGGCTTTTGGGGTTTTCAGTGTTATTTTAGTTGACTCTTTCTCATGTTCGTGAGTTTGTCTAGTTTTGACTTTGAGGATGCTAACCCTTGGATGGGGTTTTTGTGTGGGCTTTATTGTTGTTGATGATGCTGTTGTTGTTGCTTTCTGTTTGTTTTTCTTTCAATGGTCAGGTCCCTCTTCTGAAGGGCTGCTGTGGTTTGCTAGTTCACTGCAGGCCCCATTCATCTGGTTCACTCCCGCGCCTGGAGATGTCACTCAGGGAGGCTGGAGAACAGCAAAGATGGGTGCCTGCTCCTTCCTCTGAGATCTCTGACCTCAAGGGGAACAAACCTGATGCCAGTAGGATCACTCCTGTATAGGTGTCTGACCACTCGTTAGAGGGTTTCACCCAGTTGGGTGGCACAGGGAACAGGACCCGTTTAAGGAAGCGCTTTGTCTGTTCCTTGGTGGAAGGGGTGTGCTTCCACTTGTCTGAGCTGCCCAGATTCCTCAGAACTACCATGGGGAAAGGCTAAGTCTGCTGGTCTGCAGAGGCTGTGGCCATGCTTCCCCCTAGAGGTTCAGGGCCAAGGAGATCCAGGTTCTGCCCCTGAACCTCTGGCTGGAATTATCGGAGTTCCTGCAGGGAAGCCCCGCCCAATGAGGAAGGATGGGTCAGGATCAGTCCTGAAGAGTCACTCTGGTTGCAGTGGGCCACAGCGGGTGTGTTGGGCTATGGGGGACACCTGTTGGAACCAGGACGTCCAGCCTCCCTGGCTCCAGCAGGGGAAAAGTGGAGCTTGGATCTATAGATATGGATGCCACCTTTCCCCTATCCAAGGAGCTTAGAGTGTTAGGCAGTTTTGAGTCCCAGTGCTGGCTGCTGCCCCTCCCACAAGGAGCTCAAAGGGCTTAGACAGCAGGCAGTCACAGTAGGTGGTGGTCACTCCTCCTCCCGGGAGCTTGGTAGGCTTAAGCAGATTCCAGCTGAGAGGCTGTTGAGAATCTGCAAGGCTCTGGGGTTGGGATGCTAGGCCCCATTGGCACAGGTTAGTGAGTGGGATCTTCCGATCCGTGGGTTGTACAGTTCCGTGGAAAAAGCATGATTTCTCCAGCTGGGTAGCATGCTTACTCACTGCCTCCCTTGGCTCGGGGGAGAAGGCTCCCCTGCCCTGTGTGGCTTTCAGGTGGGCTGCCACACAGCACTGTTCTTCCTTCATCTCCAATGATCTCACCAGCCTCCTAGTCAGTTCTGATGAGAGAATCTGGACACCTTGGTTCCTGGTGAAGGATTCACATTCTTATTATGGTTCTTTTCAATGTGAGCCTCCAAAAGTAGCTGTTTCTGATTGACCATCTTGGCCTTGCCTCCTAATTTACTTAAGCCATAATGAAGTGAAATGCTTAGCATAAAAATTTATTTTTAAATTTCAACTTTTATATTAGATTCAGGATGCGCATGTGCAAATTTGTTACATAGGTATAGTGCATGATGCTGAGATTTGGGGTACAAATGATCCTGCCACTCAAGTAACATAGTACCCAACCAGTTGTTTTTCAGTTTTTGTTCCCCTCCCACTCTTCCTCTTCTTGTTGTCTCCACTGTTATTGTTCTCCTCTTTGCCCATGTGTATTGAATGTTTAGCTCCTACTTGTGAGAACATGCCGCATTTGGTTTTCTGTTCCTGAGTTAATTCGCTTGGGGTAATGGCCTCCAGCTGCATTCATGTTGCTGCAAAGGACAAGATTTTGTTCTTTGTATGGGTGTATAATATTCCATGGTGTATATGTACCACATTTTCTTTATGCAACTCACCACTGATGGGCACCTAGGTTTATTCCATGTCTTTGTTACTGAGAATAGTGCTGTGATGAAAATATGACAGCATATGTCTTTTTGGTAGAATGATTTATTTTCTTCTGGGTACATAACCACTAAAGGCATTGCTGGGTTGAACGGTAGATCTGTTTCAAGTTATTTGAGAAATCTCCAACCTGCTTTCCACAGAGGGTGAGCTAATTCACATTCCCATCAACAGTGTATAAGTGTTCCCTTTTCTCAGCAGCCTTTCCAGCATGTATTCTCTTTGACTGTTTAATAGTAGACCTTCTGAACCATGTGAGATGGTATTTCACTGAAGCACAAAGATTTCTATTGTGCCAACAAAGTTTGTGATGTGAAAAAAGAGTTATCAGAAGATGTTTTAATTATTCTAATTTTAAGTGCTATAGTGTAGAAGTGAACACTAATAGCTAAATGAGGTACATCTCCATGGTTAATGTTAGAATACCAACCCATAACAAAAGTTAGCAATTTTGTTTCAAGATGACTGTAAACAGGACACTGTGCTAAAGTCCCTTCCATTTATCACCTTAATGTTTCCACCTGAGGTTATATGAGATTCATTTTGCTATTGGCCTGACTATAAAATAAGGAAGTGGAGACATTGAAAGACTTAGTAATTTGTTCACATACAATTTATTTACTCACGTTGAGGGTGCTAACCCTTGGATGGGGTTTTTGTGGGGTCTTTATTGTTGTTGATGATGCTGTTGTTGTTGCGTTCTGTTTGTTTTTCTTTCAATCGTCAGGCCCCTCTTCTGTAGGGCTGCTGTGGTTTGCTAGTTCACTTCAGGCCCTATTCATCTGGTTCACTCCTGCGCCTGGAGATGTCACTCAGGGAGGCTGCAGAACAGCAAAGATGGGTGCCTGCTTCTTTTTCTGAGATCTCTGACCTCAAGGGGAACAAACCTGATGCCAGTATAGGGTGTCTGACTACCCCTGTTAGAGGGTTTGCTGGTTCAAAATGGGCTTATTTTGTTACTAAACCATTAACAACTTGCAGACTAGAATGGTGGCTTTCATCTCTGCAGTCCACTCTATTTTCAGTGCTTGGTACCTTGGGATGGATGACACTTTCAATCGAGACATGATCACATGCAAAAGCCTGGATCATTTCCCAAAGTGTGGGGTCTTCTCAAGAATAGGGAAACTTTGGGAATCCTGGATGAAAAGAAGTTTTCTTCAGGTTTTTGGAGAAGCTCAGCATTTGCCATCTGATGGCTATTAAAAGAAAGGATGGAGAAGTTTCCCAAGATTTAACTGTGAGACTTGTTCAAAGTTCCTTGATTGGAATCTCCCTCCATATGAAGGAGCCTGAGGTTTTGGGAGGCAAGGGTTTTTTTCTTTTTCCTTGTTTTAGTTTTCTGAAAGTAATTTATTTTATCAGAGACCTGCAAAATTAAACTGAAAAAACACACAGACTCTTATTTTAAGGAGAGATAAAAAAATAACTGGATCTAGCCCTTGGTATATGAGCTTGATCTTGCTGTGAGAGATGCTTCTACAGGACATTTAGAAATAGAACAGCTGCAAATTTAGTAGACACAATAGAATATCAGAGGATCTTTTTTTTTAAATCTACTCCTAATCAGCACTCTAGATACTAGTGAGTAAGAATCTCCAGGAATGTCAGTTAGCTTCTAGTATTTTACAGACTTTCAAGAACTCAGTGTCTGATAAAAACACCATGGCACAGCATTGCCTTTTAAGATGAAGGCCATCTTTTCATCAGAAATTGTATACGCACTGAATTAAATGTATGGACCAAGGTACAGTCAACATGAAATCAATTAATACTTAGCACTTCTTGCCTATTGGCTAAAATCAAGTGTAGTATGAATTTAATACTTACTCTAAAATGGCTAAACATTGACCAAAGAGGAGAAAAAACAGGTAACATTTTTGTAATACTCATGATGTGACACACTTGGTCTAATCACTTAGCTCTAATTTGCTTCATCCTCAAAGTATGAAGTTGGATATTATCATTACCACCTTTTAAGAGGTGAAGAAATTGAACACAGAGAGATTTAATTATTTGCCCAAGGTTACACACCTAGTAAGTAATGGGACTGGGTGAATTCAAATCCAACAGTCAAGCAGCAGAGTCCATGCTTTTACCACTGTGTTATATAACTTCTCAAATTCACTGGCCTCCAGATAGAATCCTTTGAGTTCCATGAATAAATGTGCTTCGATGTGTTCTTTCTTGAGATTGGAGCTCTGCCAGTAGTAGGCTATTTCTGAGGAAGTATTCTGAAGTCTCCTGGTAGAGAAATTACCTACTGGGACAGGTGGCACACCCACTTGTGTCTTTTTGGATTGACAGCACTCTGTCAGTAATCAGTACCTGCTGCCTCACAGGTACAGGTCATATTGTGCTCACTTATTTTCTACAGTTCTTTGTAGCTCCTACCACAACTGGCCATGTGTGTTTGGGACCTCTGATCTACTGGTTTGTACTCTTATACTTCCTCAATTTTGCAAGCCTATGGTTGAAAAAGACCTATACCTAGGGATGGATCCAGGTTTTGTGGAGCCTCACACTTATACAATAGGGGAGCTCTTTAAGGAAAATTATATAAAAAATAAAAATACAAAAATAAATGTGAAAGTATAAATATTTATTTAAATTAGAGGCTAATCAAAATTATAGTTTATATATATTAAATTACACAAATGTCCCCAAATCCAGAAAATGTATTTATATTAGAACCTGACATTCTTTTATAATACTTTCTCCAAAAATTTTTCTACTCTGTCTCTTCATATAACAATTTTTGTTTTTTTCTGTTTAGAGAATATAGCAATAATTTGCTCTTTCCTCTATCACAATTTTATTTTTTAAAAATTAAGGATAGTTGGGATTCACTAAATGTATGACTTCTCACACAGATATATGCAATGTTTATAGTAGTGTTATTACGGTTTTGTTTTTCTACATTCCAGGAATTTTGATAAATTCTATTTTATGTGATTCCTACCAAACAGAAATTAGAATGTTATAATTAATATTTATTATTGTTATGAGTCAGAGTCTTTCTATATCTATCAGGCTGGAGTACAAGGGGGTAATCATAGCTCACTGCAGCCTGGATCCTGAGCTCGATCGATTCTGCCACCTCCACCTCTAAAGTAGCTGGGACTACAGGTACCAGCCACAACTACTGGCTCCTTATAATTGTATACTGTATTACTGAGTGTATTTTGACTAGGGCAGAGCTTCCACTTAGACTAGAAATTAATGCAAACCAAATCCTCTGATATGGATTGGCTGTGTCCCCACCCACATCTCATCTTCAATTATAATTCCCATAATCCCCACATGTCATGGGAGGGACCTGGTGGGAGGTAATTGAATCAATGGGGTGTTTTCCCCCACGCTGTTCTCATGATAGTGAGTGAGTTCTCACGAGATTTGATGGTTTTATAAGCGCCTGGCATTTTCCCTGTTGGCACTCATTCTCTCTCCTGCTGCCCTGTGAAGATGTGCCTGCTGCCATGATTATAAGTTTCCTGAGGCTTCCCCAGCCATGTGGGACTGTAAGTCAACTAAACCTCTGTCTTTATAAGTTACCCAGTCTTTGGTATTTCTTCACAGCAACATAAGAATGGACTAATACATCCGCCATCTACTATTTTATAAACTGTGAGAAGTTACACATTTTATAAACTGGATGAAAGGAAGAATTTTTTATAGAAAAGCTCTGGCTCTACACGTTTCAAACCTTGTTTCTGTTTCACTGATCACATATTTAATGCCTGGGTAACACAGAGCATGTTTATTTCTAAATCTAAATCTATATCTCTTCTTCTGGGAGAACCACACAATGGCTTTTCTATGTAGCTAATTTCCTGTAGTCAAAAATTCATTAGACATGGAACTGATTTTAACATGTGTTATATACTTTAGTATCTCACTACAACAAAACCAAACTACATCCATCCCCAGCTCAGTCTCCTTTCAGTAATGCCCTCAAAATGATCATAGCTACCTCAACATCATCAGACACAAGAAAGAATATGATGGAAAGGCAGCTGGAGTAGAATAAGAAAGTTGTATTTATTTTTAAATGCAGTTAAAATACCTCAACATCTGCAGAACACATCTTAATCAGTCTGGGCTGCCATAATAAAGTATTGTAGACTGGGTGGCTTAAACAAAAGAAATTTGTTTCTCACAGTTCTGGAGGCTGGAAATCTGAGATTGAGGTCAGTGTGCCAGCTTGGTCAGTTTCTGTTAAGGGCTCTCTTCCTGGCTTGCAGACAACTGCCTTCTTGCTTTAACTTCATTTGGTGGTAGGGTGGGGCGTTGGGGGCAGATTCCCTGTCTCTTATTCTTTTTACTTGGGCATTAATCCTATCCACAGGACCCCACCATTATGACCTTGTTTAACCTTAATTATCTGCTTATAGACCCTATTTCCAAATACAGTTGCACTGGAGTTAAGACTTCAACGTGAACTTTTGGGTGGCACAGTTCAGACCATAGCAATATGACCATCTGAATATATTGCTACAGTCTTTCCCAGGGCCTAGGAAGGAGCCCATGCAAGTGAGGGTCATAAAATTCATGTTTTATTAGCTTTGTGGTAAATTCAACTCTGCCTAATGTCTTAGAAAAAACATTTGGAAGGAAGATAGGTGGGGTGAGAAGAAGAGATTAGGGCATCTGTTATTCTGAAAGATAGCTTGAACACTTCTAGATAGCTGCTACCAAAGGGAAAATGTGGCTCATTTAGCGTTAGCTATTTTCCAAGGTTGTCCATTGTTGTAACGTCTCTGACTCTTTCCTCTTATGTTTAGCAGGGAAAAAGAGACAGGCTTGTCTTCTTATTGTGGTAAAAACTACAAAGAGAAGGCAGATGGAGTGAGTGTATCATCTTCTACAGAAAGTCTTAGTAGATACAGGGAATAGAAATCCATGAAACAATATCAGACTGCCAGGTTTGAAGATGGAGTCAAAAAAAAAAAAGTTCCTGGGGGCTGAAGTAAATTAACGGGAAACTTAAAGCCACTGGAACCTCGTACCTATCTGAACATAGGCTGTAATGGGCTGCACCTCAGCAAAACAGTCACACATAGACTTAATTTCTCTTCAAACAAAGGAAAGAGGGATGCTATTGTTCTTAATAGACTGTAATTGACTTTGCTACCACCTTCCTGTAGAATGACAACCTCTCACTTTTTTTTTGACTTGGGGCAACTTTCTGTAGAATGCATATTTCTCAGCTCCACTGATGTCAGATTTGTTCATATATGTGTTTTGACCAGTGTGGGCAGAAGGCACAATGAATCAGTTCCCAATAAAGCTTGAGGAATTATCTTTTCGATTTCCTGTTCTTTTTCTCTTCCACAAGATAAGCAAGTCCCAGGCTGGGGTTGCTTCTTTGACCTGCGTCCTAGAATGACAGAGACATAAACACAGCTGCTATAGTCAATCCTCAGCTCCCATATATTGGGAGTAAGAGAAAATCTGCAGTTGCAAGTCACTAAGAGGCTGGCCTTGATAGTTATATTTGAAGTGAGTCCACAGTGAAGAAGAGAGGATGACAAACCTCAGCGACTTTTCAAGTACCTGAACTGCTGAAGAAATGATTATGCTTTTGATAATATATTTTCAGAAAATAAAATACATGTGAAAGCTGGAGAATGGGCTGGAGAAAGAAGAATGTCCATGCGAGTCAGGGAGTTTTTTCAGTAAGAATGAACCGAAGTTTTTAAAGGATATGAAGTAATTCACCAAAGAGGAAAGTGAGGATGACATCCCAGCAGGGAGATGACGATAGAAAAGGAAGAAAAGAGCAAAATAGGATGAGGTCTGGAAAGCATACAGAAGAGTTCCACTTAAGTAATGTGTAGTATTGAGTATTTCTAAACCTCAATAATCTAAAGTAAATCAAAAGGGGTTTAGATTTCAGTAAGAATCACTGAGAAGTCAAGAGTTTTAAGTAGATGCCAAGACCAGCTCGGTCTGGGAGACCCTAACCCAGCGGTGCTAGAGGAATTAAAGACACACACACACAAATATAGAGGTGTGAAGTGGGAAATCAGGGGTCTCACAGCCTTCAGAGCTGAGAACCCCGAACGGAGATTTACCCATGTATTTATCAAGAGCAAACCAGTCATTAGCATTGTTTCTATAGATATTAAATTAACTAAAAGTATCCCTTATGGGAAATGAAGGGATGGGCTGAATTAAAGGAATAGGTTGGGCTAGTTAACTGCAGCAGGAGCACGTCCTTAAGGCACAGATAGCTCATGCTATTGTTTGTGGCTTAAGAATGCCTTTAAGCAGTTTTCCACCCTGGGCGGGCCAGGTGTTCCTTGTCCTCATTCTGGTAAACCCACAACCTTCCAGCGTGGGCCTTAGGGCCATTATGAACATGTTACAGTGCTGCAGAGATTTTGTTTATGGCCAGGTTTGGGGCCAGTTTATGGCCAGATTTTGGGGGGCCTGCTCCCAACAGTAGAAGCAATAAAGTTAGAATTTTAATTTAAAGTGGATGATGTTGTAGGCAATGCTACTGTTCAAAATATTTGTTTAGTGGCTGAAAATAAATAGTGAGAATCTGTTGTTTGCCAGTTGCTCATCAGTGCTCTGTTTCACAAAAGGGTTTTAGGGTGATGTCAAAAACTGTGAAGGGCCTGGAATTTTACCCCCTTAAAGCTCATAAGCCATTCTGTTATTCCATGAGTACAGGCAGAGGACATGAGATTATTGGGTCAGAAAGAAGACGCATTACTACTCACAGCAATAACCCTGTCCACAGCTTCAATTTGTTGTTTATTTCCCATTCTCATGTTCCCACTTGGGGAAGAGTAATTCACAAAGCCTAGATGGATGCCTATAGACACGGTGAGTTGAGGTACAGAAGGGAACACTGAGCTAGGGGATTTATAGTTAACAGAAGCAAGCTTACTCTTTGTCCAAGAAAGGTTACTTCATCCCTCAAGGATTCTCACTGCAAATGTGATCCTGGTAAATGGCCCAAGTAAGAAGCTCTCGGAGCCTTGCATTCTTGACATGCCGAACAAGAACACAAAATAATGCTCAGGTCGCGTAGAGAATTTTATCTCCTAACAGGTAATTGCATCATTAGATACAGGAAAAAATGTGTTTCAATTTTATTTTGTATTAAAAATCTAAGGATAAATTATATTTAAATATTTTCACTCTTCAAAAGGGAACAATACAAGAACTTATGAGTATGTTTCAAATGAGTATACTTATGGTTCCAATGATCACCATTACTGAGCAGATTAGTTATCACTCTGGAATTTCATTAGCTATTGTGGTGGCTTTGATTTTTATAAAGTTTATTTTTTCCAGACTATTATTATACACATACGTTAAAGAGTAAGTTAAAGGTATAAGCTAATGAATTAACTTTAAGATGCTCATCACAACTACAAGCTGCACTTTGCTGATCAAAGATTTTAGATAGTATATTAGAATGTCTCTGGTAATAAAAATAAAAGTTTTAAAAAGAAAAAACTAGTGTGAATCATATTTGGTACTTTTTTATTAATTTGTAATAAATACAATTTATAGTTTATAAATGTATTATTTTTATTGATACATTTCAAATATTATCTTGAACACTTTGCTCAGCCTGCTGATTTGAAATAAAATGTAAGAGCAAGATAAATGAATTTATTTTTAATAAAAAATTCAAGATGAAGAATTTAGGTGAAAGGCCATTTTTTGGCCTAGATATGGTGGCCTAGCTAAATTACTTTACATATGCATATTTTGAAAATCAGACTCCAAAATAATATACATTAAAATGTCATTTTAAAACTTTATAATTGTCACTAAAGCATTTTTGTTATATAAAAAGTTAAAGTAAATTAAAGAGTGTACTACTTGTTAAATAGAACAAAATATAATTATGTACTAGAACTGTGTCTGGAACATTTATATTTATATTTGTCAAATAAATGCATAATTATTACAGAGATTGTCTGAATTTAAAAAGAGATATTTGTTGAGTTACACACACTGTAAATGATGGTAGGCCTACATTTGTGAGCAAAAGAGACATCTCTTTTGTCCTCATGAAGCATCTACTATCATGGAGAATACAGAAATTATTACATAATGACAGAAATGATTTCCTAGTTAAACACTATTATAAGTGATATGAACAAAAATAACAGGATTCTGTGAAGGGGCATAACAGGATCTATTTAAACTGTGACACACAAGACAATATCTACAGGAAGGTAAGGTTTACCATGTGTCCTAGGACTAAGCAGACCTTAACCAGGAACCAGGGAGTGAAAGAATAAGCCCTGGTGATGGGATAGCATCAATGAGGCCACTTGAGGTGAGAGAAACTCCAGCATTTTTACAGATACTGAAAGACATCCAATGTGGCTATGATGATGAGTGAAACTGGCATAAGATGAGCTGGAGTTGGGTGGGTGGAAGAAGCCAGGTGTAGTGGATTGACTGGTGAGTCCCAAAGATATCAGATCTTAATCTCTGGAGCCTGTGAATGTGATTAAGTTGAGGGTCATGAGATGAGATATTAACCCTGGATTAACCCTAAAGAAGATTAATCCTAAATGTCATCACAAGTGTGTTTGTAAGAGAGAGGTAGAGGAACATCAGAAACATAAAATATGGCAATGTGAGGATGGAACAAGAGACATTTAATGATGATGAAATTGACAACTGGAGAGATGCGGCCTCAAACCAAGGAGTGTTGGTAGTTACCAGAAACCAGAGAAGGCAAGGAAGACATTATGCTCTAGACTATCTGGAAAGAAAATGGCTCTGCCAACACCTGGATTTTGAACTTCTGGCCTCCGGAACTGTTAGAGAATGCATTTCTGTTGTTTTAAGCCGCCTAGTTTGTGGTAATTTTTTAGATCATTCACATTTAAGGCTCTAAGTGCAATAGGAAGGAATGGGTATGTTCTTCTGCAGGGTTTGGTATTGTCTATTTAAGGGGTAAAAATAAGTCACTATAACTTCCTTGTGGATAATGGACTATAAAAGTCACTAGGGGAAGCTAGGAGACCCGTTAGGGGAGGCCACTTCAGTAGTTCCATTGAAAGATGAGTAAATGATAAGCCTGGAATTCAAACCAATAAACTCAAAGCAGCAAAGCAATTGAGTAAATATTAATAAGCAATAGGTCATTTTGCTTAATATATTCTCCTGAGGCTTTATTTAAGGGAGACTTAAATCTCCAATGATTTCTATGTATTTACCTCCTTGGCAACTATAAGGAAAGTAATAGATAAGTTTCCCAAAATACAGCATCCACATTTAATATTTGTTTTGCCTATACACTTGAAACTTTTAGATGACAGACTCAACTTTAATGTATATTTACTTTTTTCATTTTTCTTAATCACATACACAAGTATTAATTAGATGTGTTGATCAGGAGGAGATAAACTACGACCATGTGAGTTTCATATCATTCTCGAAATAAAGCAAACTTAACTAATGGATACACTTCATTGCAACTCATCCTCTTATCACATCTCCAAAAGCTGCCTATGGAGATCACAGAAAGTTTAGTTTATGTGGAAAGAAGTCTACTAATTCAATAAGGACATATGACACAGTTGTGAATAGGTGTTTTCTCCAGATTATACATGTACAATTTAAACTTTAAAGTATATATATGTAAAGTATAGATTAACATGTGATATGACCAGTATTAGGGACAAGTGGGGTAGCATATAAAAGAGTGATTCATGTACATGTAATACTATGAGATGATTATCAAATTCTAACTATTTGCCAGGCACTCTTCTAGGCTCTTAACATGAATTAACCAATTTGATCCTCTCAATAATCTTATGAGGTAGGTATTTTTATTATCACTTTCTCTTAAAGGTAAAGTCACTGAGGGACAAATTACTTGACTAGGAGTAGACAACAAGACGGTGGGAGAACTGAGATTTGAACTTCAGTAGACTCACTCCAGACCTACAAAACATTGTATTACAATATGATTTTGATTATTTTAAAGTTATTTATATTAGCACATTCAAATAATAAAAAGCATCATTTCCATAAGATGTTAGAATCTTTGAAACAACTGTCAGTCCCTTAAAGAAAACAACTAAGTTGTCTGCTAATATCTGCCACTTTATCACCGCTCACATTTTTGACTGTACTGTGTTCTTTTGAATAAACGACGGATTGAATGAGTAAATACGTAAACTAAACAATTTTAAGGCTGATTGATAAACTCAAGGCCAACCAAATTGTTGCCCAACTATAGGATTAATTATTAGAAGAAAATAAAATGTTGAAAAAACAGTGGTCATGTTTTAGGGGAATGATTACACTTCCTCACACCAATTATTTCAAGGAGTTGTAGGCATTTTACAATTCGTATTTCCTTGTTTGTAAGGAAATAGTAGTATCTGACCTATCTCATAGGGTTGAGTATCCAGGCACTATTATATGTCAAATATGACTTCGATTCCAAAATACAGTCCTCTAAGTGAGGGTGGAGGGTGGGGAGAGATGGTTTGGGGATGATACTGTTCCATCTCAGATCACCAGGCTTTACAGTCTCATATGGAGCAGGCAACCTAGATTTCTGACATGCGCAGTTCACAACAGGGCTCCTGTTCCTATCAGAATCTAACGCCGCTGCTTATCTGCCAGGAGGCGGAGCTCAGGAGGTAACGCTCACCTCCTGCTGTGAGGCCCTTTTCCTGACAGGCAATGGACCAGTACGGATCTCCAGCCTGGGGTTTGGGACCATGCTCTAAGTTTAAATAATTCAATACTGAATACTTTAAAAATTATTTTCTGAACTTACATGATAGATTCTATACAATTTTCAATAAGCAAAAGAGATGGGTAGATAGAGATAGGTAGACAGATAATAGATGTATAAATAGAATATGACAGAGAAATGAGAAACAACAAGAGATCTCTAGAATATCCCTAAAATTAATCTAATTATTGGAAGCCTGTATACTGTTAACATCTCCCCCTTTACATTACCCAAACTTAAAGTGCAAAAATTCCGTTTCCTCACTACATAATAAATCTTATTCAAACAAAAGAACTCTAACATAATCCTCATTGTTATTTATTATTTAAAAGCCTTTCTTGCCCAGACTTCTATTTACATGATGTCTTTCCTGGGTCATTACCGATAGCTCAGAGTCCATTATCCTGTAAGCATTGTTTAGAATGCAATGCAAACCTGTCCACTCGTTCACACTAACCCTCATTTTGTCCTGCAGATGATCACCCTTGTTAGCCCTGCATTTAGGTACTGAGAAGAACATGGATCAACTAAACCATTTCCTGTACTCCCTTTTCCAATACATATGACAAAAGATGACACATCGCTATTTATGTCTCTCTCTCTCTCTTTCCAAATCATCCTTATTTATTCTGGTCTGTTTATTTTAATTTACAGGCTAGTTCTAAAAATAGGGAAAATGTTTTCTTTTTTCTCAATCATGTGATACATTATTATGCATTGCAGTCTTCTGTGTAGAAACCTATCAAAGACTTTGAAAAAGTAAAATACATTTTTATAACATTGTCTTTATTCATGCACTTACTTCATCCTCTCATATAACTTCAACTTAAAAAGCTGGTTTTCCCACACACACAAAAAATGAGCTTTAAACATGTAAAGCTGAAAAAGCTAGCTAGTTTATGCATTTGGTTTTGTGTGAAACAATACAAAAAAATCATTATGCATTTTTACTTAAAAGTTGCTAAGTTGAAAGTTCTGATATTTCTTATTAAGTGAATTAGTGCTGAAAAAGTTTCTTCACAGCTATTTTGTATGATAAAGTGGTTGATGTTTCAAAAACATCAAAATGAATACTTTTAACCTCAACTGTAAATTGAGAAATTTTGTTAACTATTAAATGATTATTTTTCTTCTTTTGCAGAGGGAAAAAATGCACCAGGATTTATTGCAGCCATTAAACAATGAATTTAAGTTACATTAAGGAATCCAGTTTTTCTTTATCTAGTCTAAGATATTTTAGACCATAAAACTTCCCTCATGATATTTTAAACTAAACACTCGTTTCTTCATGGAATCAGCAACATGATTTTCAAAAATTATTGTGCTTAAACAAGAGCATGAAAATTAACAAACAGAAAAATCTGAATGAACTTGAGGCAACAAAAATAGCAAAAAGAATGATCAACCAGATAGTAATTTTAAAATACAGTTTTTTAGATCAATTTCCACAACTGTCAACATGTGTGATTCAGTGTTAATAAAGTAAGCCTAATATCTTAAAGATACAAAATACATTTTATGCTGAGTATTTCTTTAAAAGGTCATGCAAAACCCCTATTTGGTAAATCAAATCATAATGTTGCCTTGGTCTACATTATACTTTGAGTGATACATACTCTCACAGAAAGTCTTTTGGATACAGGATAAAGTAAAAAAAATACAGACCAAGTCAGTTTTTAAAAATGTATATGTTTAAAATAAAAATAACTTTTTCATAAGGCATTACTAAGAATGTTCAAATTAAAGAGCTATCTTGAAGGGTTAGACAAGAACATCCTTGCTCTGGGCTGACCAAGACAGTGCTGACTTGCTTCATGCTGGCCATGGCCAACAGGTGGCACCAACCCCTTCCTATAAAGACCAGCACACCAGACCCCCAAGAGTGGTCCTCTAGGTGCGTCACACAACTCCAAAGAGAAATCTTGGCAAGGAATAGCTCATATTTTTGTGACCACCTATTGACCATCTGTTGACTATTTTCTATGACAACAACCAAATTTTTTTTTTAAGTCTTAAATGTTTAACTTATTTTAAAATGCAACAAAATGAAACAAAGAAACAACCCTCTAGGAAAGTGAGCCCAGGAGAAGGGAGAAGATGTGTATTGTGCTCTAGGCTTAGCTTATTCAACCATTTAGAACAATACTAAAGATTTCAGGCCAGGCACGGTGGCTCACGCTTGTGACCCTGGCCCTTTGGGAGGCCAAGGTGGGCGGATCACTTGAGGTCAGGAGTTCAAGACCAGCCTGGCCAAAATGGTGAAACCCCTGTCTCTACTAAAATTACGAAAATAAGCCTGGCGTGGTGGCACGTACCTGTAGTCCCAGCTACTCGGGAGGCTGAGGCAGGAGAATTGCTTGAACCTGGGAGACGGAGGGTGAAGTGAGCTGAGATCTCACCATTGCACTCCAGCCTGGCAACAGAGCGAGACTCTGTCTGAAAAAAAAAAAAAAAAAAAAAAAAACAGGTTTCAGAAACCGTAAGAAATATTATTCAAAATATTCTTAATGATATGTTGATAATATGAAATAAATTACAAAGTTTGAGATGCATCTCCCTAGAGATTACATATAACGGCCTCATATAGATCTACTTTTGTTACCATTTTCATCTCCACATATCTTACCAGCATGGGGGTGCTCTAGGGTAAGGAAGGGGAGGTAGATCAGGGTGCAAGAGCAGAACACGAGCGA
Source organism: Homo sapiens (assembly GCF_000001405.40). Lineage (NCBI taxonomy): Eukaryota > Metazoa > Chordata > Mammalia > Primates > Hominidae > Homo > Homo sapiens. The sequence goes on along the minus strand of NC_000007.14, from coordinate 145,848,038 downwards.
TGCTTACCTGTACATGAAGATAAGAACAAAGGCAATAGTTGCTGTTTCTTTGAACAATGGACTTTAGAAAGATGATTTTTCTAATTTTTGCAACCATGACACATTTATTTCTTCATTTCTCCCAGTATTTGCACCACTCTTTCTCTACAAACCATACATTTAAAAATTATTAAAAAGTGGGCACAGCCAGGCACGGTGGCTCACGCCTGTAATCCCAGCACTTTGGGAGGTCGAGGCGGGTGGATCACAGGTCACGAGTTCGGTTGGTGAAATCCCGTCTCTACTAAAAATACAAAAATTAGCTGGGCGTGGTGGCACACACCTGCAGTCTCAGCTACTCAGGAGGCTGAGGCAGGAGAATTGCTTGAACCAGGGAGGCAGTGAGCCGAGATCCTGCCACTGCACTCCAGCCTGGGCAATAGAGCGAGACTCTGTTTCAAAAAGAAAAAAAAAGTAGGCACAAAACTTCTAACAAAGTAACAGTATATTCCTCTCTTCCTTCTGAATACACATGCTCTTCTGCAGTGGTAAACACTGCAGTCTAGCTTCTTTCTTCCGTTCTGTCACTTTGCATACACACACACACACACACACACAGAGAGAGAGGAGAGAGAGAGACAGTAATAATGTGTATCAGCACATATATGTTGAATTACTTTCAATAGTACTTTATATATACCATCTATGCTCCCAAAGTGCTAGGATTACAGACATGAGCCAGGGCTTCCGACCTAATTTGCAATTTTTTATGATAACGTTCAACGTTTCAAATTCTTATTTGTAACATATTCTTCCTTAATAAACAGAAAACTATTATCTGCTCAAATCTTTTGCCTATTTTTAATTGAGTTGCTGAGTTATCTTGGGTCTGGTTTCTTTATCAGTTTTGATGATCATTGCCTATTAATTAAACAGTTTAGATAATTTAATATAACTATTGTTATGGTTGGTTATTAATTTGTCATTTGCTGTTTTCTATTTGTCCTATTTGTTCCTGCTCTACTTTTTTACTTTTTAATGCATTATTTTAGATTTAGTGTATTTTATGGTTCTGTTTTTTCTTTATTGTTTGACTTATTCGCTATAATTCTTTGTGTTTTTGATTGTCTGCTTTCAATTTCCTTTTTCTTACATTACAAATTTTTATTATAATCTATTTTCAAATGATATGATACCACTTTGTGCATAGTATAAGAATCTTACAGAACTATATTTTCATTTTTTTCTACTATCCATTTTGTCATTAATGTCATATATATTATAAAACTTGCAATTGAATATTACTGTTTTTTATTTAAAGAGGCACTTATCATTAGGAAATTTTTACATAATAAGAAAAACTTATACATTTATCCATATAATTACCCCTTTAAACTCTTTAATCCATTGTGTATAACCAGATTTCAATTTGGTGTCATTTTACTTCTCCTTGAAAATTTTCCTTTAAATTTTTCTTCCTTTGTTTTAGACATACTGCTTCACTAACTTTTGACTTGTCTTATTTCCTCTGAGAAGTCTACCTTATTCATATTTATGTATGCACTGTTTGGTTTTTCTCTGCTTTTTTATGTATTTATTTACCCCTGGTTTTAAGCAACTTGACTATAATGTGTCTTCAAATAATTTTTGTCATCACTATATTTAGGCTTCACTTAGCTTCTTGGATCTGTGGATTTAGCTTTCATCAAATTTGGAAAAATTTTTTACTATTATTTTTTCTAATAGTATCATTTCTAACTTTTGTCCTGCCCCTTCTCTCTGAGATTCCAATTATATTTATAGTAAACTGCTCAAAATTTGTTTCACAGCTCAATGATGCACTATTTATTTTAAAGCCCTTTTTCTTTTCTGAATTTGGATAATTTCTATGTCTACTGTCAAGTCTCTTAATCTTTTATTCTGCAATTTCTAATCTTCTGTTAATTTCACCAGTTCTATTACATATCAGATACTGTAGTTTTTATCTCTCAAATTCAAATTGCATCTTTTTATATTTCCATGTTTTACTTAACAGACTCTCATTTCCTCTAGCTTCTTGTGCATATGGAATACAGTCATAACAACTGTTTCAGTGTTATTGTTACTAATTCTGCAATCTGTGTTTTGGGGCTAGTTTTGATTGGGTGATTTTTCCCCTCTACCGTGGGTCATATTTCCATGCTTTTTTGTATACCTGGTCGTGTTTGAATAGACACAAACAGGTGATACTTCCCTTGTCATGTCTGTACCTTTGCATTTCTATAAATACTGTTGAGCTTTGTTATTGGAACAGTCAAATTACCTAAAACAGCGTGATTTCCTGTCTTACTTTAAGGTTTTGTTAAGCAGGACCAGAACAGCATGTATTCTGGGTCTACGTTTCCCCAGTGGTTGAGCAAATCCCCTCTGAGAACTCTACCAAATAACCTGTGAATCAGGAGGTTTTCCACTCTGCCTGTGGAGCTAGGAACTATACTTAGCTCCCTGTGAGTTCTGAAAACGTGTTAGGTAGTTTCCTCATACATAGGCACCGATCAGGACTCAGCTGAAGACTCGGGGGGACCGCTGCACATCTGCAGACTGCTTTTTCTGTGCAGCTTCCTCCTCTGGGCATACTGGCTGTGAACTCTACCCTCTCGTCCTATGGACTCTCAACCCCCTCTCCTCAACTCATTGGGAGTGCTGTGCTTGCCTGGGTTTCTTCTCACTGCCAGACAGGCAGAAAATTCTTCTTCTTCTTCTTTTTTTGTTTTTTTCTTGAGATGTAGTTTCACTCTTGTCGCCCAGGCTGGAGTGCAACGGCACTATTTCGGCTCACTGCAACCTCTGACTCCTGGGTTCAAGTGATTCCCCTGTACCAGCCTCCCCAGTAGCTGGGATTATAGGCACCCAGGCAGGAAATTCTTTATAGACAGGATACCATGTCATTAGTAAAGCTCACCTTGTTTGTTTCTATCTATAGGAAGAACTGCCCTTAATTGTATATCTTCAATGCTTTGAAAAATGTTGTTTGGGCCGGGCGCGGTGGCTCACACCTGTAATTCTAGCACTTTGGGAGGCCGAGGCGGGCGGATCACGATGTCAGGAGATCGAGACTATCCTTGCTAACACGGTGTAACCCCCGTCTCTACTAAAAATACAAAAAATTAGCCGGGCGTGGTGGCGGGCGCCTGCAGTCCCAGCTACTCAGGAGACTGAGGCAGGAGAATGGCGTGAACCCGGGAGGCAGAGCTTGCAGTGAGCTGAGACCATGCCACTGCATTGCAGCCTGGGCAACAGAGCGAGACTCCGTCTCAAAAAAAAAAAAAAGAAAAAGAAAAATGTTGTTTGATATATTAGTCATGATTTTGGGTTGTTTGAGCCTGGAGTGTATATTCAAATGCTATTATTCTAGAAGTGTTTTTTCAAGCTTAAAATATAACAAATTTTAAGAATCACCACTATTGGAATAGACTACTCCTACTGTCAAACAGGCATATACGACATGGTAAGGAATGCTAACCAGTGTATTTAATGCAACTCCTGTGTAGTTTCTGTGCAATTTTCTTGTATGCCAGTTATTAAATAGCAATCAATATTTTAGTGTAACACATATATAATTACATATCTTAGTAAATGGAACAGGTTTGGACTAGGCATTTTAAAATTATATAAATTGAAAGATTAAAAAATGTTTCTATCAAAACATTTTATGGAGGAGACTAAAATAAATGAGAAAGTTAATCATGAATTAAAAAAATAGATAAGCCATTAAAAAAAGAAAAAACTCTTAATTTGAAAAATTTTTCTAAATATGCCTATTCCCACTCCTGAAATCTCAATTTGTTTTTAGTTCATCTCATTAATAAATAAGTTCTTAACCAAAAGCAAACTTCCAATTCCCCTATACAATGTGTATTTTTTATTTATTTTACTGTTTTGTCTTTTTATACCCTAAATTTATATTCCATAAAATTTACAGAAAAGGATGCAATTGCTATTAAGCATGGGGCTATATTGCTTGTTACCAAATCATATGCACATTTAAAAACAAATAATTTGGAATACTGCTTGGCATTTCAATATTTTTATTTGTTTGGCAATTTAATTACAGTACTCTATGGTTAGTGCTCTGTTTTTCTTCAGTAAACAATCCATTTATCTTTATTAACTACCTTATATGGAATATGTTTTCATGGAGAGGAGCAAGAATTTAAAGCCCCTCAATTTAATAAGGTTTAGTTATTAAGTGTTTAAACCTTCTAAAATCAAAATACCTAATGTCTCTTGTTTGGTTTAAATGCATTGAAAATATTAAATCAGGAAACGAAAACTCCAAAAAGACCTACTCTTTGATTTGGGATACGTTTATTAGCTTAAATAATTAAAACTAGTTTTAAGGTTTTGCATAGAATGGCACATTCCTAATTGCCCATCAAGAAATATTTCCCAGTTTTCCCATTATGCATTATGACAAAACTAGAGAAGCAAAAACAAATAATCTCAGACACTGAGATTCTCAGATAATATAATGTCAGGAGTTCAAAAAGGTAACAATTAAAAAAAAATTAGATGGTGAATGAGGAGGCAGAGCAACATGGCCAAAGAGAAGCTTCCAGCAATTGCCCCTGCCACAGGAACACCAAATTAAAAAACTATCAACACAAAAACACCTCCATAAGAAGCAAAAAGCAGGTGAGTGATCATTATATATGTTTAAAATTATATCAAGGAAAGAGGAACTGAAGAGGGTAGGAAAGACAGTCTTGAATTACTGACACTACCCTTTCTCCATCCCCTGTCAATGGCTGCATGAATCTATGTGCTTGAGGGAGGGAGAGTGCAGTGATTGTGGGACTTTGCATTGAAACTCAGTGCTGCCCTTTCACAGGGGAAAGCAACATGTGACAGGATTCATCTTGTACCCATGGAGGGAGCATTTAAGCCAGCTCAATCCAGATGCAAATTGTCCATCCCAGTGGTCAGAACCTGAGTTCCAGCCAGCGTCACCACTGTGGGCAAAAGTGCTCTCAGGTCCTACATAAACTTGAAAACTTGAAATGCAGTCTAGGCCATAAGGACTGCAATTCCTGTGCAAGTCCTCATGCTATGATATACACAGAGCCAGTGGACTGACGGCACATGACCCAGTGAAACACCAGCCAGCGTGACCAAGGGAATGTTTATGCTCCACCTTTCCCCAACTGCAGGCAGCACAGCTCGCAGCTCCAGGAGAGACTTTGCCCTTCTGCTTGAGGGAAGGACAGAGAAGGGTAAAGAGGTCTTTGTCTTGCAGGTTGGATACCAGCTCAGCCATAGTAAATAGGGTGCCAGGCACATTCCTGAGGCCCCTATCTCAGGCCCTAGTTCCTGTTCAACATCTCCAAATGTACCCTGGGCCAGAAAGGAACCCATTGCTTTTTAGGGAAAGATCCAGTCCTGACAGAATCATCACCTGCCTTGAATAATCAGCCATGGTAGCCAGGCAGTACTCACTGTGTCCCTTGGGTAAGATTCAGAGCCATGCTGGCTTCATGTGTGACCCAGAATATTCCCAGCTATGGTAGCCAAGGGGAGAGAACCCCTCTGCCTGAGGAAAGGAGAGAGAAGAGAAAACTTTATTTTGCAGCTTCGGTACCAGCTCAGCCACAGTGGGGTAGAGCACCAAGTAGGTTCCTGGGGTCCCCGATTGCAGGCCTTGGCTCCTGGACATTTATGGACCCACCCTGAGCCAGAGGGGAGCTCACCGCCCTGAAGAAAGAGTCTCATAACTGGCAGCATTTACCACAAGCTAACTAAAGAGACTTGGGCCTTGAGCAAACATTGGACATAGCCAGGCAGTACTCTCTGTGGGCCTGGTAACCACAGGGAGAGACTCCTCTGCTTAAGGAAGGGGAAAGGAACAGTGGGAAGCACTTTGTCTTGCCACTTGGGTGCCAGCTCAGCTGCAGTAGAAGAAAGCACCAAATAGATCTCTAAGATTTCTGACTCCAGGCCCTGGCTCCCAGGCAGCATCCCCAGATGTACCAGGGGCTGGGTGGGGACTAGCTGCCTTGAAGGGAAGGACACAAGCCTGACTAGATTCACCATCTGATGACTATAGAGCCTTAAGGCCCTGAGTGAATATAGGCAAGCCAGGCAGTATTCATTGCAGGCCTTGGGTGAGAACCACTGTTCTGGTTGCTTTGGGTCTGACCCAACACAGTCTCAGTGGTGCTGGCCACAGTGTTGCTTGTGTCACCTCTCCTCAAGATCCAAGCAGCTCAGCACAGAAAGAGAAAGAATCCATTTGTTTGAAGGAATGTAAGGGGAAAGTACAAGAGTCTCTGCCTGACAATCTACATAATTTTTACAGACCTTCCTCAAGACCACTAAGGTGGTAGCTCTATGAGTCTGCAAGAGCCACATCATTACTGGGCTTGGGGTGGCCACTAAAATAGATATGGGTGCAGTGACAAAAGGTGTAGATCAAAAGACCCATGTGCCCTGGAATACTTGGAAAGCCTTCCCAGGAAGAACAAGTACAAGCAAACCCAGGCTGTGAAGACTAAAATAAATGCCTAAATTCAATTTCCAGACACTTACTAACATCCACCAGCATCATGACCATCCAAGAAAACATGACCTCACCACATTAACTAAATAGAGTAGCAGTCACAAATTCTGGAGAGAGAGAGATATGTGATCATTCAGATAGAGAAATCAAAATAGCTATTTTGAGGAAGCTCAACAAAATCCAAGACAACACAGAGAAGGAATTCAGAATCATATCAGATAAATTCAACAAAGAAATTAAAATAATTAAAAGAATCAAGTGGAAATTCTAGAGCTAAACAATTTAACAGACACTGAAGAAAGTGTCAGAATCTCTCAACAGCACCCTTGATCAAGCAGAATAAGTATTAGTAAGCTGAAAGACATGCTAGTTGAAAATACCCAGTCAGAGGAGACAAAAGAAACAAAAACAATGAAGGACAATTACAGCATCTAGAAAATAGCCTCAAATGGACAAATCTAAGCGTTATTAGCCTTAAAGAGGGGATAGAGAGATAGATCAGGGAAGAAAGTTTATTAAAAGGGATAATAACAGAGAACTTCCTAAATCTAGAAAAGATATCAATATTCAAGTACAAAAAGGTTATGGAACACCAAGTAGTTCTTATTTTTAACCCAAATAAGAATACCTCAAGATATTCAATAATCAAACTCCCAAAGGTCAGGGATAAAGAAAGAATCCTAAAAGCAGAAAGAGAAAAGGAACAAATAACATACAAAGGCCCTCCAATACATCTGATAGTAGATTTCTCAGTGGAAATCTTATAGACCAGGAGAGATTGGCATAATGGACTTAAAGTGTTGAAGGGAAAAGCTTTTATCCTAGAGTAATGTATCTAGAGAAAATATCCTTCAAAGTTGTAGGACAAATAAAGACTTTTCCAGACAAACAAAAGCTGAGGGATTTTATCAACACCAGATTTGTCCTTCAAAAAATCCTAAAGGGAGTTCTTTGATCTGAAACACAGGACATTATTGACTAATAAGAAATCATCTGAAGGTACAAATCTCACTGGTAACAATAAATACAAAGAAAAACACAGAATATCACAAATTCACTATTGTGGTATGTGAACTACTTATATCTTGAATAGAAAGACTAAAAGACAAACCTACCAAAAATAATAACTACAACAACTTTTTGAGACATAGACAGTATAATAAAATATACATAGTGACCCCAAAATGTTAAAGAGTTAAAAAGTGGGGGGATGAAGTTAAAGTGTAGAGTTGTTATTAGTTTTTTTTACTTGTATGTAGTTTGCTTGTTTATTTAATCAGCATTAAGTTGAAAAAAGTTAAAAAACACAGTAACATGAAATAGAAAAACTTACAACAGATACACAAAAAAAATAAAAAGCAAACAATTAAAACATACTACCTGAGAAAATCACCTTCACTAAAAGGAAGACAGGAAAGAAGGAAAGAAGGAAGAGAAGACAACAAAACATCTAGATAGCAAATAACAAAATGGCAGTCATAAGTCTTTACTTATCAGTAACAACATTAAATGTAAAAGGACTAAACTCACCAATCAAAAGACATACAGTGGGTGAATAAGTAAAATAAAAAGACCCCATGATCTGCGCCTATGCAAAACATATTTCACCTATAAAGACATTCATAGACTAAAAATAGTGTATGGAAAAATATATTCTATATAAATAGAAACCCAAAAAGAGCAGGAGTAGCTATATTTATATTAGACAAAATAGATTTCAGGACAAACACTGTAAAATGAGGCAAAGCAGATCATTACAGAATGATAAAGGGGTCAATTCAGGAAGAGGATATAACAATTCTAAATATATATGCACCCGACACTGAGCACTTAGATATACAAAGCAAATATTTTTAGAACTAAATAGAGGGACTCTAATACAATAATAGCTGGAGACTTCAACATCTCCTTTCAGAATAGGACAGACCTCTCAGACAGAAAATCAATAAAGAAATGCCGGACTTAATCTTCACTATAGAACAAATGGACCTAATAGATATTTACAGAACATTTCATCCAACAGCTGTAGAATACACATTGTTCTCCTTAGCACATAAATTCTTCTCAAGTATAGTCCAATGTTAACATCCCAAAACAAGTCTTAAAATATTCAAAAAATTGAAATAAAATCAAGCAGCTTCTCTGACCACGATGGAATATAACTAGGAATCAATAACAATAGGAATTTGGAAAAGTATACAAATATGTGGAAATTAAACAATATGCTCCTGAATGACCAGTAGGTCAATGAATAAATTGAGAAGAAAAGTTAAAATGTCTTGCAGCAAATGAAAATGGATACACAACATACAAAAACCTATGGATATAGTGAAAGCAGTACTAAGGGAGGAAAATTATAGCAATAAGTGTCTACACCACAAAAACAAAAACAAAAAACTTCAAATAAAAAACCTAATGATGCATATTAAAGAACTAGAAAACAAAGAGCAAACCACACCCCAAATTAGTAGAAGAAAAGAAGTAATACATATTGGAGCAAAAATAGATGAAATTGAAATAAAAATAATTAAAAATCAACAAAATAATAATTGTTTTTTAAAGAGAAACAAAATAAATAAATCTTTAGTCTGACTCAATGAGAAAGAAAGGGTGAAGACCCAAATAAATCAATGATGAAAAAGCTGACATTACAACTGGTACTGCAGAAATTCAAAGGATCTTTAGAGGCTACTATGAGAAACTATATGCCCAATGAATTGGAAAGCCCGGAAAAAATGAATAAATTCCTAGACACATACAATCTATCAAGATTGTTGTTTCTTTCCAACTTTTAGGTTCAGGGGAGAAATATGCATGTCTGCTACATGGGTAAATTGCATTTTGTGGATGCTTTATGGAGAGGTTATTTCATCACCCAGGTGATAAGCATGGTACTTGATACTTTTTCAATCCTTACCCTCTTCCCACCTTACACCCTCAAGTAGGCCCTGGTGTCTATTATTCCCTTCCTTGTATCCATGTGCACTGAATGTTTCCCTGTTTATATGTGAGAACATGTGGTATTTGGTTTTCTGTTTCTGTGTTAGTTTGCTTAGGATAATGGCCTTCATTGAAAATGCATCCATGTTGCTGCAGAAGACATGATTTTATTCTTTTTTATGGCTGTGTAGTAGTCCATGGTGTATATGCACCACATTTTCTTTATTCAGTCCACAAATGATGGGCATCTAGGTTGATTCCATGTCTTTGCTATTGTGATAGTGGTGGAATGAACATCCAAAGTCATATATATTTTAGTGGAATAATTTATTTTCCTTTGGAGACATACCTAGTAATGGGATTGCTGGGTCAAATAGTTGCTCTGTTTTAAGTTATTCAAGAAATCTCTAAACTGCTTTTCACAATAGCTGAACTAATTTATATTCCCAACAATAGCGTATAAGCATTTCTTTTTATCTGCAACCTCATAGCATGTGTTATTTATTTACTTTTTATTTATTTATTTATTTTTTAATTTTATTATTATTATACTTTAAATTTTAGGGTACATGTGCACAATGTGCAGGTTAGTTACATATGTATACATGTGCCATGCTGGTGTGCTGCACCCATTAACTCGTCATTTAGCATTAGGTAGATCTCCTAAAGCTATCCCTCCCCCCTGCCCCCACCCCACAACAGTCCCCAGAGTGTGATGTTCCCCTTCCTGTGTCCATGTGGTCCATGTGTTCTCATTGTTCAGTTCCCACCTATGAGTGAGAATATGTGGTGTTTGGTTTTTTGTTCTTGGGATAGTTTACTGAGACTGATGATTTACTTTTTAGTAATAGCCATTGTGAATGGTGTGAGATGATATCTCACTGTGGTTTTAGTTTGCATTTCTCCAATAATGTGTGATCTAGAGCATTTTTTCATATACTTGGCTGTGTGTATGTCTTCTTTTAAGAAGTGTCTATTCATGACCTTTGCTTATTTTTAATGGGGTTACTTGTTTTTGCATATTAGTTTAAGCTTCTTATAGAGTCTAGATATTAGACTTTTGTCAGATGCATAGTTAACAAATATTATCTCCCATTCTATAGGTTGTCTGTTTACTCTGTTGATAGTTTCTTTTACTGTGCAGAAGCTCTTTAATTAGGTTCCACTTGTCAATATTTGCTTTTGTTGCAATTGCTTTTGGCATCTCTGTCATACAATCTTTACCAGGGCCTATGTCTAGAACGGTATTTCTTAGATCTTCTTGTACAGTTTTTATACTTTTAGGTTTCACATTTAAGTCTTTAATCCATCTTGTGTTTATTTTTGTGTATGGCAAAAAGAAGGGGTTCACACTCAATCTTCTGCATATGGCTGGCCAGTTATCCCAGCACCATTTATTGAATAGAAGTTTCTTTCCTTTTTGCTTGTTTTTGTCAGCTTTGTTGAAGATCAGATGGTTGTATATCTGTGGTTTTATTTCTGAGTTCTCTAACCTGTTTCATTGGTCTATGCATCTGTTCTTTTTTTACCAGTATCACACTGTTTTGGTTACTGTAGTCTTGTAGTGTAGTTTGAAATGGGAAACCTACCAAGATTGAATCATAAAGAAAATAAAAACCTGAACATACTAATAACAAGCTATGAGATCAAAGCCAAAATAAAAAGACTCCCAGCAAAGAAAACCCAGAATCCTATGGCTTCACTGCTGAATTTAACCAAAGAATGAATTCTAATCCTACTTAAACTATTCCAAAAAAATACAGGAGGATGGAATGCTTCCAAATTCATTCTCTGAGGACATTATCACCCTCATACCAAATCCAGGCAAAGACCCATCAAACCAAGAAAACTACAGACCTATATCCCTGATAAAGATTGATGGAAAAAATTTCAACAAACTACTAGCAAACTGAATTCAACAACACATTAAGAAGATCATTCATTACAACTTAGTGAGATTTATCCCTGGGATGCTAGGATGGTTCGGCGTATACAAAGCAATCAGTGTGACACATCATATCAACAGAATAAAGGACAAATACCATATGATCATTTCAATTGATTCTGAAAAAGCGTCTGATAAAATTCAACATCTCATCACAATAAACACCCTCAAAAAATGAGTACAAAAAATAACTAAACACAGTAAAAGCCACATGTGACAGACTCACAGCTAGTATCATACCAAATGAGGAGATGCTGAAAGAATTTTCTCTTGGATCTGGAAAAAGACAAGGATATCCACTTCTACCACTACTATTCAACATACTATTGGAAGTCCTAACTAGAGCAATCAGACAAGAGGAAGAAATAAAGGGCATCCAAATTAGAAAGGAAGAAGTCAAATTATCCTTGTTCACAGATTACATAAACTTATATTTGGAAAAAGCTAGGCTCCACCAAAAAATATTAGAACTGATAACAAATTCAGTAAAGTTTCAGCATACAAATTCAACATACAAAAATCAGTAACATTTTATATGCCAGTAAATGATAATCTGAAAAATTTAAGAAAGTAATCTCATTTACAATAGTTGCTAATAAAATACCTAGGAATAAACTTAAGAAATGAAAGATGTCTATAATGAAAACAATAAAACATTGATTCAAAAATTGATGAAGACACAATAAAATCAAAAGGTATTCCATGTTCATGCATTGGAAGAATCAATATTGTTAAAATGTCTATTCCACCCAAAACAATCTAAAGGTTTAATGCAATTCTTATCAAAATACCAATGACAGTCTTTACAGAAATAGAAAAAATACTGTAAAATTTATATGAAACCACAAAAGACCCAGAATAACCAAAGTTTTCCTAAACAAAAAGAATAAAACTGCAGGAATCACATTATCTGATTATAAATTATACTACAGAGCTATAGTAAACAAAATGGCATGTTACTGGCATAGACATACACATAGATTAGTGGAACAGCATATAGAACCTAGAGACAAATCCATACATCTAAAGTGAACTCATTTTCAATAAAGGTGCCAAGAATATACATTGAGGAAAGAACAGTCTTTTCAATAAATGCTGCTGGAAAATCGGGATATGCATATGCAGAAGAACGAAACTAGGCCACTATCTCTGACTATATACAAAGATCCAATCACAATGGATTAAAACTAATGGGTTGAAACAAATGGATTAAAATGGACTTATACTGAAGACCTCGCACTATAGAACCACTAAAAGAAGACATTGGAGAAACTTGCTAGAACATTGCACTGGGCAAAGATTTCTTGATTAATACTCCACAGGCACAGGCAACCGAAGCAAAAATAGACAAATGGGATCATATCAAGTTAAAAAACTTCTTCACAACAAAGTAAACAATCAACAAAATGAAAAGGCACATCACAGAATGGAAGAAAATATTTGCAAACTACCACCTGACAAGGTATTATTAATCAGAATATAGAAGGAGACAAATAACTCTATAGAAAAAAATCTAATAATCCAATTTAGAAATGGACAAAAGATCTGAATAGACATTTCTCAAAAGAAGACCATGGCAAACAGGCAAATGAAAATATGCTCAACATCATTAATAATCAGAGAAATAGCAATCACAACTACAATGTGATATATTTCACCCCAGTTAAAATGGCTAATATCCAAAAGACAGGCAATAATGAATGCTGGAGACAATGTGGAGAAAAATGGAATCCTTGTACACTCTTGGTGGGAATGTAAATTAGTGCAACCACTATGAAGAACAGTTTGGAGTTTCCTCAAAAAATTAAATATAGAACTACCATACCATCTAGCAATCTCACTGCTAGATACTAAAAAGAAAGGAAATCAATATATCAAAGAGATACCTGCACTCTCATGTTTATTGCATTACTCTTCATCATAGCTAGGATTTGGAAACAACCTAAGTTTTCATCAACAGATTAATAGACAAAGACAATGTGGTCCATATACACAGTGGGGTACTATTCAGTCATAAAAAATAATTAGATTCTGTCATTTGCAACAACATGAATGGAACAGGAGGTCATTGCATTAAGTGAAATAAGCCAGGTACAGAAACACAAACTTTGTATGTTCTCACTTATTTGTGGGAGCTAAAAACTTAAAACAATGGAACTCATGGACATAGACGGTATCATGATGGTTACCAGAGGCTGGAAGGGGTAGTGAGCTGGGGAATGGGGTTGGTTAATGCGCACAAAAATACAGTTAGACAGAATGAATAAGATCTACTATTGGATAGCACAACAAGGTGACTAAAGGGAACAATAATTTATTGTACATTTTAAAATAACTAAAAGTATAATTGGATTGTTTGTAACGCAAAGAAAGGATAAATGCTTGGAGAGAAGAATACTCCATTTACTCTGATGTGATTCATACACATTGTATGCCTGTATCAAAATATCTCATGTACCTCATATATATACACCTACTATGTGTATACAACCATTAAAATAAATACTTAAAAATGAGACAGTAAAATTGAGTAAATTGTCATGGTTTCAATATGTAGTAAATTTTGCCTGTATTTTTTGAAAATAGGCTACATGGAAATGCAGAAGTTTCTAAATCCCTATAATTGATCTTTTGATGCTCTGATGCTGAGATTTACAGCCTACACCAGGGATTCTCCATGGAGAGAGAATGCCCTGGGTTCTGCCAGAATTAATCGAGAGGTTTTGTTTTTCTAACTTTACTCACCTGCCCACAAGGCAGTTCAACTGCGAGAGCTACTTTAGGAGCCTAATTATGTACCATTGAATCCTGACTCTTCCACCAAGTTTATAGCACTAGTCAAACTGCTTATTTTCTGTAACTTGGGATCTTCAACTGTAAATAGGAATTCCAAACTAAATCACTGGATCGTTTGGAGGCTGAAATAAGATAATCCACATAAACTGCCTAGAGCAGTGCTCAACATATTGTAAATCCTCAATAAATGTTAAACAGATATTAGTTACCATATTAATAATTAACTATTATCTACACAGAGCTATACTTACTAATGGAAGTGTTTTATAACATTTAGAAGCACTGAGACAGAAAGGGTTGAAAATTTAAAGTATAAATAAGAAAACTGGGCATGCACTCTCCACAACCCATCAGAGGATGAGTAGGCAAACTTGCAAAGCATGAATTCTCCTCATCCTTACATGATCCTCCCCTATAGCACCCCCATGTATGTATCGTCATGAAATGATTGTCAATACCATGAAATAACTAAATGAAGTGGCTGGAAGTCTTTTAGGCAATTCTCTCTAAAGTAAAGTGATATAAATGGCAGAACATTCCGAACGAATTTTGACTAGAGTAACAGGAAGCCAGGAATTAGCAGTGGGAGGAAGAAAACCCACAAGTGCATGGAGTTACTCTAAATAAAAGTCTGTATTTGGACTGTTAATTTTATACATCAACCTGCTGGTTAACATTTTGTTTCAGAGGCAGATTTGACCACCACATAAGTAGGCATAAAATGAGAACATAGACATCTCTTTTTAAGTTTGAACAAATCTTACTTTAAACATAAGAAAAGAGAAAGTAGCTAACGTGTGGCCTTAGAAAAATACTAAACAACATTGTGGCATTAACTCAGAAGGCCCACAAAAAGGTCTTGAAATAATCTACTGCTAACCAAAAGGTTATCTGAAGAGAAGTTTTAATATTTTTTAAAAGTAGAAAGCTTCTGTAGAAACAGCAGTAGAACAAAACAGGTATAGATAAAGTGGCAAAAAGGTGCATGAACAGGAGACATATTTTTAAATATCATAGAAAAATATTTATTTGTAATCTGATCAAAATACTGACTGCAGTTTAAAGAAAATTCATTAAAATTAAAAATTTCAGTGTAAACTAAGCATATTAGTAAAATCCATGCAGAATAATGAGATAAGCTAAAAGTCTTAATCAGAAATCAAATTTCTCTGTTGTATACTACACTCCAAAGGACAAAGGAACACTATCTGTGGAGTTGTGGTATAAAAAAATGAATTGTAATTTTAATATGCACCTAATTTGTACTTCACTTGTTAAGGTAACATCCAAATTTGAAATATGCATGAGTGCGAGTAATATGACATTACAGTGCTTTTTATTAAAAGCAAACAAGCAAACAAACAAAATTACTGAACTCCAACCAACCAAGTGATAAAAAGTCAAATTTCATTTGAAGCTATTTGTAACAACGTCCAATTTCTGAAAGTTGATTTATTGCTCTGAAAGTACGTTTAGAATAGTGTTCTAAATTTTTAATATAATACTTATTTTTCATACAAACATAAACTTCATCTAGAAGTATAAAAACAATCTGATACCATTAGTTGCCCAGAGGTGGTGTGGCAGTGATGTTGTAGTTGTGACTTCTTGACAAGGATGAATTATATTTCCCAGAATTCCTTTTTCTGCATGTTTCTGGTTAGGATGGGACACCATAGACATTTTAGTGTCAAATTTTGAGGGTGCAAGTAGGGCAGCAGTCACTTTTTAATGCTTGGAAGGTTGGGGCAGGGTCATCGGTGACTCTTGTCATTCCTCCCCACTGTCCCCCATCTGGTGGCTCACTTTGTGGGTATGAGGCAGCAGCCAGGGCTGTCACTGCTACACCTTTCCCTGGATCCCCAGTCAGCCGCTCTGATGCTTGGGCGAGGTGCATGTTTAGCTCCTTGATGAAGGAAGGGTTCCAGCTTCTTCTGCAGATCATTCACATCATCAAAGTTAGAGGCTTTGAAAACTGAGAGGCGTTTCAGTTACCCCTTGTGAGTTTCAGCTGGTGCAGGTGGCTTCCAGGTTGTCCTTGCTGATGGCCACTTTACATTTCTTTTCCCTTCTGCCTCACAGACTTAAAGCTTCAGTGTCAGTCACAAAGTCAACAGCATTACACTGTTTGACCTTATCCTAAAATTGTGTTGGTCAGACCCCAGCAATAAATATATATTTAACCATATCCCAGTGGTTTTGCTTCTTTGATTGAAAAAAGCCTAATACAGAAGGAAACTAGATGACAGAAGATGCAGTTAAGATGTAACTTTTAAAAATTATAACCTTGAGTACCTTTTGATTTTGAAATGCATAAGTTAAATAGACAACTTTTATTGAGTGTTTACCATGTGTTTGGCATTGTTCTAAGTTCTCTATATTTCTTTATTCTACTAACATTAAGACACAGTTATTTTGATTCATTTTTTAAATGAGGAAACTATATTTCAGAGAGGCTAAGTAACTTATTAAAGTTTAGACAGCAAGAAACTACCAGGTTAAACTTCCAACTCAGGTAATTTAGATCATGAAGCTATGCCCTTAACTCCTTTGCAGTTTTCTTAATCACCTCACCTGTTGTTAATCATCTCTTTTATAATAGTAACACGGGTTATTTTTACCTGAGTCATTATACACTTTGAAATTCAAAGTTATCAAAAATATTTCCTTATGTGCACAAAATTACTAAAAAAATTGATAAATCATTTTTGATGTTTGTTTCTTTTTCAACAATATCTGAATTTTAAGATCAGATCTGTTCAGATCTTGTACCTATTTTAAAATTGTAAATTGTACTTTTTGTTTCCTTACTGTTGAGTTTTAATCATTATTTGTATATTTTGGATACAAGTCTTTTATCAGACATGTGACTTTCAAATATTTCCTCATTCTTTGGCTTTTGTTTTGATTATCTTAACAGCGTCTTTCACAAAGCAAATTTTACTTTTAACGTACTTCAACTTATGACTTTTTCATGAAAAATGTTTGGTCTTTTATTTTAAAATATGTAGCTAAACCCAGTATCACCTTTCTTCTATAATTTCTTCCAGGAATTTGCTCATTTTGAATTTTACATTTGGGTCTATAATGCAATTAAAATGTTATACCTGTGTTTAGGTTCAATTATTGCATAGAAGTGTCTAATTTTTCTAGCACAATTTCTTGAAAAGACTGTCCATTGAATTGCCTTTGATTCTTTTCCAAAAATCAGTCAACTGTTTTGTAAGGGTGTATTTTTGAGCTTTATATTCTATTCCACTGATCTATGTGTCTATTCTTTGACCAATACCATGCGTTCTTGATTACTGTATCTTTATTGCAAGTCTTACAATTGGGTAGTGTGAGCTTCCAAATTAGTTATTTTTCTTCAAAATGTTCTTGGCTATTGTAGGTCTTCCCCCTTTCAATACATATTTTATAATTAGTTTTTGATATATACAAAATATCTTATGATTTTGACTGTAATTGTGTTGAACAGATAGAATGATTTGGAAAATATTGACATATTAACAGTATTGAGTCTTCCAATCCATGATACAGAATATCTTTACATTTATTTAGACCTTTGACTTCTGCCATCAGAGTTTGTGCATGTAGATATATCCTACATATAGATTATATATATAGTGTTAGACTTATTCTGGAGTATTTTGTATTTCTGATACATTTATATTTTGTATTATTTTCTTTAATTTCAATTACTTCATTGCTGGTATATCAAAAAGCAACTGACTCTGTATATTTATCTTGATTCCTATGACACTACTTTACTTGAATACTAGTTTCACTTCTTTTGTTGGTCTTTGGAGTTTCTGCACAGGAAATCTTGTCATCTCTGGACAATTAAAGTTCGATTTATTTTTCAATATCTATATGTTTTCATTCCTTTTCTTGTATTTTCTCATTAACTAGACTTTCAGTATGGATTTTGAATAGAAGTAAACAAGGTATTTTTGCCCTGTTCCTGAACATGAGGAAAATGTCCAGATTCTTAATACTATATATGCAATTAACTTTATTTTTTTGTAGATATTCTTTATCAGGTTGAGAAAATTTTCCTCCTTTGTTGAAAGTTTTATCTTGTATGAATACTGGCTTTTGTCAAAGGATTCTTTCACATGAATTGATCTGATAATATTGTTATCATATTTCTTATTAGCCTGTTGATGTGGTGGATTATTTTAATTTACTTTTGGATAATGAACCAGTCCTATATATCTGAAACAAATTTCACTTGGTGATAAAATTATTTTTATGAATTATTCCATTACGTTTGCTAATATTTTGGTGAAGTATTTTGTATCTGTGTTGATGAGAGATATTGGTGTTTAGTTTTTCTTTCTTGTAATGTCTTTGATCTGGTTTTGTTATTCAGATAGTGCTGATCTAATAAAATGAGTTAAAAAGTGCTCTCTCTGCTTCCATTTTTTTGTTGAGATTGTGGAGGGTTAGTATCATTTCTTCCTCCAACGGTGGAATTCAAAGGTGATGTAATCTGGGCCTATTGCTTTCTATTTTGGAAGGCCACTAATTCTGTATTCAATTGTGCTCTCAGAGTATGCTTTGTATGATTTCTGCTCTTTTAAATTTGGTAAAGTTTGTATTCTGGCATTATTGGGTAGAGTATTCTTTAAATGTCAATTAGATCAAGTTGATTGATAGTGCTTTTCAGATCAATCATATCCTTAGTGGTTTTCTGCCTGCTTGGTCTATCAGTTATTAAAAAGAGGTGCTAAAATACAGAATTATAAGAGTGGATTTGTCTATTTGTCTCCTTTCAGTTCTGTCTGTACTGATCTTTGTATTTTTATGTTCCATTGTTAGGTGCATAAAGGTTTAAGATTTTTATATTTTCCTGGATAATAGACATTTTTCTCATTATTTTATGGATCTCCTTATTTCTGATAAGATGTATTCTAAGTCCTTCTTTGTCTGAAAATTGTACAGATTTTACCTTTAATTAGCATTCTGATGTATTTTTCTCCATCCTTTTACTTCTAACCTATTTTAATCTTTACATTTAAAGTAGACTGTGCTATTTTCATAGTGTTGTGGATTAAATATTTTGTTTAAGTAAACTCATTTAACTGAAGTAAATATAAACACAAGAAATTTCTCTATGAAATGACAAAAGAGAATTGAGCCTATATTTGTTGGTTTTGTTGATTACTGTGGAAATTAATTTCTTCCGACAACCAATCCAGAAAAAATAATATTCTTCAATTGAAGAATTTTTGCCTATTTTAGTAATCTAATTTTATTCCTATAACTCTTAATTCAAAATTATACTTCCCCACGCCAATGTTAATCCCTTATTTTTACTTTTTTATTATCCATATTGCACATTTGACACTAATACTCAATTCTGTTTTCTTTTGTGATTCTGAATTATGCTCTTTTTATTAATTTAAAACTTAATATCTTTTCTTTAATTTTTATGAGTTTCTGAGCTCATTAATTTGTGGATTAAGAATGCTATTCTAAAGACTATTCAAGCATTTTTTATTAGTATGAAAAATAATTCAAATTATTAAAACTATGAATTTGAATATAGAAGCATCTATGTATACGATCAAATTTATTGAGCTTATTAATTAAACTTCTACACATTCAACATGCAGACTTACCATTACAATTAAGCTTTTATAAGATCATTTTATTTTCACACAAGTATAGGAGAAAAATGCAATTTTAATTTTAATTTTCTTCTTATTGTTCATTTTCTTCCTGAGTAATCCGGCTTTCCCATGTTAGTTTATAATTACCTTTCATGTTCCATCTTTTAGTTTGGAGAAAATATTTCTGATGCAAAGTGTCTAAGTGTCTTCGTTGTCTACTAGAAACTGAGTTACTGACATTAAGTTAAGGTGTATTTTCAAATGGGTTTTTCATAATTTGAACTCGAGCTATGTCTTATACAAACCATCAGGGGAGAAAAGTTATTTGTGTTCTTGTCCCTACATGTATTTTTCTCTTAGTTAATTTTTTTTTTTTTTTTTTTGACAGGGTCTCACGGCTGCCCAGACTGAAATGCAGTGGCATCTTGGCTCACTGCAACCTCCACCTCTGGGGCTCAAGTGATCCTCTCACCTCAGCTGGGACTATAGGCACATGCCACCACACTGGGCTAATTTTTGTACTTTTGTGCGTGTGTGTAGAGACGAGGTTTCAGCAGGTTGCTCAGGCTGCTCTTGAAATCCTGACCACAGCTACTCGGGAGGCTGAGGCAGGAGAATGGCGTGAACCCGGGAGGCGGAGCTTGCAGTGAGTTGAGATCGCGCCACTGCACTCCAACCTGGGCAACAGAGCGAGACACTGTCTCAGGAAAAAAAAAAAAAAAAAAAGAAGAAGAAGAAAAGAAATGCTAACCACTGATTCACCTGCCTTGGCCTCCCAAAGTGCAGGGATTAGGAGTGTGAGCCACATGCACAGCCTTTTTTAGTTAAAATGTTGACAAAACACTTTATCCAGATGAATGTTTAAAAAGTTTTCACATGTTCTGCAGACATTACTACCCATTGTAACAACCCCATTGATCATGGTACTTTCCAAAAGGGAATTCCACTACCAATAATTTGATGTCAGTATGTGAGATGACTTTTTGGCCTAAACAAAGTGTTTGTTCACTCCCTAATTTAGAAAGTGTGATAATGTTGTAAGCCTAGGTATCTTTGTGCTTATCCTTCAAAATAATTATTTTTGTAGTTATTTAAATATGTTTTTTCTCCTTCTGATTAAAAACTTTTAGTCTAATACAGAATATGTTAAAAATAATCACTAAATTTTAACTGCAGTAAAAACTTCATTCCACATTTGATGAATGAATCATGTATTTGACAGTTACAATGTGTTGGCCATTCTGGTTAACTGAGGGGCTTTAATGATGAAATAAACATGAGATTTATCCTCAAGGATTTCAAAGTCTCCAAATTAGAACCACAGGAAAAATGGAAAACTGACTTGGGATTGTATGAGAACAGGGATCCTGGAAAGTAAGTTGCTGTAAAACATAAGAAAGTCCATTCTTGAAGCAAAGAATAACACTTATTCAACTCTATGACCAATGAGCCTGCCTTAATGCTAACAGCATTAGCATACGGTAACTGAGAGTGCAGGACAGAAAGTCACAGTATAAATTCCAGCTCGCCCAGCCACTAGTTATATATACCTTGGGAAAGTTACTTAGCTTTTCTAAGGTAACCGCAGGATTTAAACCTTCATATATATATGTATATATTACCCAGTTGGCTATATATATATATATATATATATATATATACACGCGCACACACACACACACACACATATACATACATATATATATAGTGACAACATGTTTGCCTATATATATGTATGTATATATAGTAACAACATATTTGTTGTCATGATACTTACCAAAAGGGAATTCTACTACCAATAATTTGATGTCAGTACGTGAGATGATTTTTTGCCTAAACAAAGTGTTTGTTCACTCCCTAATTTAAAAAGTGTAATAATGTTGTAAGCCTAGGTATCTTTGTGCTTATCATCTATATCTATCTATCTACATATATATGCATATATACAAGACATAAATTATAAAATAAAATGGAAAACTCATTATTCGAAAACTACATAATTATATAGAGAGACAATCCTTTAAAAGCTATATGAAACATTGTTATGAGTTGAATTATATCTCCTAAAAATATGTTGAAGACTTAATTCCCAGTACCACAAAATGTGAACTTATTGGGGAATAGAGTCACTGCAGATTAATTAGAAAAGATGAAGCTGTATTGTGTTGAAGGAAGTTGAACCCCTAATGCAATATGATTGGTATCCTTATAAACCAGAAAATTTGGACACAATGAGAATGCCATGTGAATTTTTAGTTACACAGCCACAACCCGAAGAGCTACGAGATACTAAGAGAAAGGCCTGGAACAGATCCTTCCGTAATGGTTTTGGAGGGATCACAGCCCTGCCAGCACCTTTTAATATCAGACTTCTTCTACCCCCAAAACTGTGAGATAATAAATTTTTCTTGTTGAAGTCACTCAGTTTGCGGTATGTTGTTATAGCAGTCCTAGTAAACTACACAAATTACAGCTCCTAGAGCCGGTAAGTGACTTTAGGTTACGGGAAACAAAGGCAATATAAACAGTTTTATATATAGTAACACTAAATAACTGCAAAATAAATCTAAAATAACATTTATAATAGCATCAACAAACATCAATTGCCTATAAATAAACCTTACAAAAGATGCAGAACTGTACACTGAAACCAATGAAACATGTTGAGATGAATTTAAAAAGACCTGGAGTGGTAAAGACTTAACACCACATACAAATTTTCGTAAATGCAATGTTTTTAAGATACTGATTTTTCCCTAAATTGATATATACATTAAGCATCATCACAACAAAAATCTCAGGAACTTTTTGAATAAATTGTCTAGCTGCTTCTAACATTTTTATGAAAATGCAAAGATACCAAATATCTAAAATAATATCTTACGAGAGCAATAAAGGTTTAAGACTAGCAGTCTTTCATACTAAAATTTTATATAATGCTACAGTCCTTGAGACAGTGTGGAATGAATGAAAAGACAGGAAAATATCCAGAATGAAGGATCCCAAAATAGAGTCATTACAATGAAAATTAACAAAAAGAAAACAAACCCACTCAGTTGCTAGTAATCTTGGCTTAAATCAATGTTTCCCAAAAAATGCTCCACAGAACACTACTCTGTGGGATGCTGTTACATTCTAATAGTATTTTTAAATCTGTGAGCAAATGACTTTGGGGAACTGGGATTATAAACAAGCAAAAACCATAGGTTTTCTTGCTGCAGGGGTTCAGAGGCATTTTAATATGTACATGAATGTTGAAAATTTCTAAAGAATATGCACTTTCGCAAAGCTGTTTGACTTTGAAATTGTTCCTGTCAGCATATCCCATAGAAGACTACTTCAAGGAAAATACTTTGGAGAAACAATGAACTGGAGTTATTAAATATATGTAAACTACTAGAAAATTGTAAAACAAGAGATAACATTTAAGATAAAACTTATTAATAAAGATACCATAATCCACTTACAGAAACAGAAATGATTCATACATTTTGAATAACTGAGTTTGCACTTAGGAGCATTTCCAAATATCCAAAAAGAAAAAAATATGATATGGGTGAGAATTTTATATTGTAGATATTATGCCTAAAACATGTTATTACTTACCCTTTCTTATTTCTATAGGTTAAATACTAAAATAAAATAGAACTTGATAGTATTGATGTTTGGTGTTGGACGAGACAAAAAATAGCTACTATCTTACATTTGCTAATTATATTAGAGATGAATTTTTAATTAACGTAGTAATTGTCTAAATTTTAATTAAATTGAAAGGTTATTTAAATCATATACTATTTTTAGATGTGTTAATTTAACAGTATTCACTACCTTATGCTATAAGATATTTGATTAAGAAATATTGTTTAATGTAATATGAACAAAATGTGCTTGATCAAGTGTGTTTATTTGGTAAATACCAAATCACATTTGTCCAGAAGATGAACCAATTGCATATCATTTTCATTCAGATGGTTGAAAAGAAATATTACTGAAAATTCATGACATATTTAATACCTCTTACATTCAAAATTAGGAATAATAAAATTATTAAAATTATTTTAGTATCTATGCTAGTAAATATTTTGTATCCATTATGAATTTCAGTTTTACAAACCATCTATTCTCTTTTATAAGAATTTTTAGACATGTATCATAAGCATTTCCCATTCATGTCCATTATTAGAAGTTCAAGAATGACAGACTAATAACTAATCAGGCAAATAAGATCTTTTTAGTGTGATTAGTGCAATGTTCTAAAATTATATTGTGGTAATTGAGTGTAGAATTATAAACAGAAATATACAAAACAAGCTTTAAATTGAATAAATAAAATGGATGAATTGTATGGTATGTGTAGATTGTAGCCCATATAGTTGTTTTTAAAAAGTAAACCAGGGCATGTGGTGCCTCACATGTGTAATCCCAGCACTTTGGGAAGCCAAGGCAGGCGGATCACCTGAGGGCAGGAGTTCGAGTCCAGCCAGGCCAACATGGTGAAACCCCGTCTCTACTAAAAATACAAAAAATTAGCCAGGTGTGGTGGCTA
Source organism: Homo sapiens (assembly GCF_000001405.40). NCBI lineage: Eukaryota > Metazoa > Chordata > Mammalia > Primates > Hominidae > Homo > Homo sapiens. Next base: position 145,823,679 of record NC_000007.14, on the reverse strand, counting down.
CTCGGGCGGCCAAGGCAGGAGAATCGCTTGAACCCAAGAGGTGGAGGTTGCTGTGAGTTGAGATCGTGCCATCGCGCTCCAGCCTGGAGGACAAGGGCAAGACTTTGTCTCAAAAACAACAAGAACAACAAAAAAAAAAAAAAAGAGAAAAGAAAAGAAAAAAAGAAAAAACAGTAAACCAATCAGGCATCATCTGATTGGAAATAATTATTGCTGTGGACTAAAATTTGCATCCACCCAAAATGTATATGCTGAAATCCTAACCCCCAAAGTGATGGTATTAGGAAGTGGGGACTTTGAGTGGTAATCAAGTCATAAGAGTGAAGCCTTCATGGGTAGGTTAGAGCCATTATAAAAAGACACCAGACAGATTGCTTCTTCTCTGTCTGCTCCCCAACATATGAGGACACAGCAAGAAGACATTTATTTGCAAACCAGGAAGATTACCCTCACTAGACACCAGATCTGGTGGTGTCTTGATCTTCTAACTGGATACTCCAGAACTATGAGAAATAAATGTTTCTATGTCTACAGACTATAGTATTGTTATAGCAGCCAGACCTGACAAAAACAAATGTGTTCCTAAGATGCTTTTAAGGAACAAATCTGGGGGTGATGTCAGCAAGATGGCCAACTAGAAGCTCTTAGCACTTTTTCCCCTGGCAAAACAAAACAAGACTACACACGCATATATACATAAAATGAATAAACAACTACATTTTTGCCAAAACAACTGGAGGAGAGCTCTGGTGAATAGCAAAGAAGCAACAGAAATTTGTAGAGCATAGAAACCCAGTATGGCTCCATAGGGAAGGGACAGAAACAGCTTGCTTTTGCCAACCCACTCCCCAGTTGGGCCCCCCAGTTGGGATCAGCTCAGAACCAGGAGACACTCCTTTCTACAGTGAAAAGGTAAACAACAGAACACTGGTAGCCCCCATCACTACTGTGGACTACTACAGTCATCACCAGTGAAAATTCCCACAGTCCTTGCAGGCTCTGAGCCCAATTGAGGGAGCACCTCAGAGTTCATATGCTGAGCTGCCTCCAGAGAAAAGCCTATGCTGTGCCATCTTGCCATTCCTGGGCAATTGCTGCTGCTGCATCTGGCCTCAAGAGTCTTGGCTACTGCCATGTTCCACCATCCCAGGGCCCAGAGTCACCATTAAATGGTAACCTCACTGCCCTCCCCCATCCCCAGGAGCCTGAGCTGCCACTGTGCTCTGCTGACTCTGGGTCCTGAATTGCACCTGTGCCCTCTTCTTGAGGCCCAAGCCTTTAGAGCACCTGTTCTTACCCAGAGCTATGCCAGTGCTGTTCCATGACCCCCACATAAGTATCACAGCTACATTTCAACTCCCTTGTACTGAAGCTGCTGGGGTATGTTCCAGAGCAACACATTCCAGGTTAGGGGAAAAACTGCATCCACTCAGACTTTGAAAAGTGAACTCACCCTCACGTCCCTGATGCCACAGTAATTTCACAAGCCCATAAACCCAGAAACCTGGCTCTACAGCTGCTCCAAACATCTGTGCCCTGGAATCCAGTGCCATTGCAGCTGCCTTGTGGGCTGTGGACCCAAAGGAGATACTTTCAGCTGAAGGAATTCATTGCCACTAGACATTTTCTATAAGAAATTCTTAAGAAGGTTCTTCAAGCAGAA